>NC_000001.11:239972000-240123515 GCF_000001405.40 Homo sapiens
AGAAAGAAAGAAAGAAAGAAAGAAAGAAAGAAAGAAAGAAAGAAAGAAAGAAAGAAAGAAAGAGAAAAGGAGGGAGGAAGGAAGGAAGGTAGGAAGGAAAGAAGGAAGGATTTTTGCAAAGTTCGCACACAGACACTGAGTTCTTTGGGGATAGCAGACAATGTATACTAGACTTTGGCTATGCTAACCATGAGATGTCCACTTTCTCACACTTGTGGCTGAGACCTCCTGCTGATCGCCTGTATTCTGTCCTCCCTTGTTTCCATTATATTCTCACCATCCCATAAGCAGATCACTTGCTACCAAAAGATTCCTATCACAAAGAAGTAACATGATTACCAGATATCTTTAGTGCATTACATCTAATCGTCAAAAGATATTTTATATAGACAGATGTTTATAGATGGAGGAAGGAGAGATGAATCTGGATGCAAATCCTGAGGATGGACAAATAATTTTACAAGTTTGCACGCATCACAAGGTGTATCTCCCAGTAACTGGATTGTCTTATATTTGTTTCTTGTGTGGAATTTTCACTGGCTTCCCATTTAAATTGAAAAATAAAAGCAAATAAATATTTCTTTACAAATTCTCTAGGATTGGGCCCATGGCCTGGGCTTGCAGGGCGTGCAACTGAGCGGTGCTGGGAGGGCAGCAGAGGTGGCAACAGAGCCACCAGATCCAGTTCCGGCACCAAACCGAACACGAAGTCAGGAGGTCCAAGACTAGCCTGGGATTGGACACGGTGAATGGATATCAGACCTGAGGCATGCCAAGGAAATATTTTCAAAGTTGGAAAAGTATGTTGATATAGATGCTGGAAAGTATACCATTGGCTTGGGCCAGGCCAAGATGGGCTCCTGCACACATGGAGAAGAGATCAACTCTCTTTGCATGCCTGTGGTTCAGAATCTTATGGAGAGAAAAAATCTTTCCTACGATTGCACTGGCCGACTGGAAGTTGGAACAGAGACAATCAAGGACAAATCAAAGTCAGTGAAGACTAATTTGATGCAGCTGTTTGAGGAGTCTGGGGATATAGATATAGAAGGAACCGACACAACTCATGCATGCTATGGAGCCCCAGCTGCTGTCTTCAGTGCTGTTAACTGGATTGAGTCCAGCTCCTGGGATGGACAGTTTGCCCTGGAGTTTGTAGGAGATATTGCTGTATATCCCACAGGAAAAGTTAGACTGACAGGTAGAGTCAGAGCAGTAGCTCTGCTAATTGAGCCAAATGCAACTTTAATTTTTGAACGAGGGCTTCGTGGGACACATATGCAACGTGCCTATGGCTTTTATGAGCCTGATATGCTCTCTGAATGTCCTATAGTAGATGGAAAACCCTCCACACAGTGCTGCTTCAGTGCATTAGATCACTGCTATTCTGTCGACTGCAAAACGATCCGTGCCCAGTGGCAGAAAGACGGAAATGATAAAGATTTTACCTTGAATAATTTTGGCTTCTTGATCCTTCACTCACCATATTGTAAACTGGTGAGTTTATCTCTAGCTCGGATGTTGCGGAATGACTTCCTTAATGATCAGAACAGAGATAAAAATAGTGTTTAGAATGTCCTGGAAGCCTTTGGGAATGTTAAATTAGAAGACATCTATTTTGATACAGATGTGGAGATGGCATTTATGAAGGATAGTTCCGAACTCTCCCATCAGAAAACAAAGGCATCTTTGCTGTATCCAGTGAAAATGGAAATACGTACACATCGTCAGTATATGGTTCCCCGCAACTGTCCCAGCGCAGTACTCACCTCAGCAATGATCAGGGAAGAGACTGGAGTGTTCTCGTACGGTTCTGGTTCAGCCGCCACCCTGTACTCTCTTAAAGTTCCACCAGATGCCACACCATGGTCTGCTGTTGATAAAATAACAGCAAGCTTATGGGATCTTAAATCAAGGTGTAGCTCAAGAACTTGTGTGGTACCAGATGTCTTTGTTGAAAACATGAAGCTCAGAGAGGACACCCATCACTTGGTCAACTCTGTTCCCCGGGGCCCAAGAGATTCACTCTTTGAAGAAACATGGTACTTAGCTATGGTGGGTGAAAAGCACAGAAGAAGTTACACTCCGTGTCCTTCTCCAAATAATGACACTTGGGATGAAGGAGTCAGACTTGTGCATTCAAACACAGTAACTGATCATATTCCAAGCCCTGCTAAGACAGTGCCAAGACTCCCTGCCACAGCAGCAGAAACGGGAGCAGCTGTCATTAGTAATGGGGAACATTAAGATATTCTGTGAGGTGCAAGGCTTTGGTGTGAGGGTGGGGATGGGATTACATGTTGCTCAGATTTTTATGTGAGTGACATGGAGCCTGGATGACCATCGTGTACTTGGGAAAGTCTCTTTTCCTCAATTTGCTGACATGTTTCCCACTGTGGTCTGGCCAATGCCAAGTGCGCTTGAGTGATGTTAAGGGCTCTATAAAACTTCAGACCTCTCTAGCCATTCGTATACATGAAGTTTAGTTTTCAACCATGGTATAATGAATCCTGTCCTTCTGTCAGAGGAAAGCAGAGGTACTAATCTTCAATTAAATTTTTTTAAAACAGATAAGAATTTTGTACTTTGAACAACAAGCTTACTGAAAGTTCTAGCTTGGGAAATGTGGTCTTAAAATGTGATATGCACAGATTCTTTGACAACGGCAAGACAAGGCCAGGTGCTCTGGCTCATGCCTGTAATCACAGCACTTTGAGAGGCCGAGGCGGGCGGATTGCCTGGGCCCAGGAACTTGAGACCAGCCTGGGCAACATGGCGAAACCCTGTCTCTACTAAAAATACAAAAATTAGCCGATGGGTGGCATGTGCTTGTGGTCCCAGCTACTCGGGAGGCTGAGGTGGGAAGACCTCTTGAGCCCAGGAGGCAGAGGTTGTAGTGAGCAAAGAAAGAAGGAAGGAAGGAAGGAAGGAAGGAAGGACGGAAGGAAGGAAGGAAGAAAGAAAGAGGAAAGAGGAAAGAAAGAAAGAAAGAAAGAAAGAAAGAAAGAAAGAAAGAAAGATAGAAAGAAAGGAAGGAAGGAAGGAAGGAAGGAAGGAAGGAAGGAAGGAAGGAAGGAAGGAAAGAAAGAAAGAAAGAAAGAAAGAAAGAAAGAAAGAAAGAAGGAAGGAAGGAAAAGAGGGAAAGAGGGAAAGAAAGAGAGAGGGAAGGAAGGAAGGGAGGGAGGGAGGGAGGGAAGGAAGGAAGGAAGGAAGGAAAGAAAGAAAGAAAGTAAGAGGAAAGAAAGAAAGGAAGGAAGGAAAAGAGGGAAAGAACGAGAGAGGGAAGGAAGGGAGGGAGGGAGGGAAGGAAGGAAGGAAAGAAAGAAAGAAAGAGAAAGAGGCAAGACAAAGAAAGAAAGAGGCAAGAGAAAGAAAAGAAAGAAAGAAAGAAAGAAAGGAGAAAGAAAGAAGAAAGAAAGGAAAGAAAGAAAGAAGGAAGGAAGGAAAAGAGGGAAAGAAAGAGAGAGGGAAGGAAGAACGGGAGGGAGGGAAGGAAGGAAGGAAGGAAAGAAAGAAAGAAAGAAAGAGAAAGAGGTGAGACAAAGAAAGAAAGAGGCAAGAGAAAGAAAGAAAGAAAGAAAGAAAGAAAGAAAGAAAGAAAGAAAGAAAGAAAGAAAGAAAGAAAGAGGCAAGACAAATATACACCCTTTTTTCTAAAATTGATAAATCCTGAAGAGGAAGAAAACAGCTGAGACAATAAAACTAGTTCTGGAATCTGGAATGTTGCTTTAAATCCAGGCCAGCCGTGACAAAAGTTGTTATGGCCTCTGAACAGAGAGACGCTGACATTGGGCAGGCTTCTGGTATAGGAAACATGGTACATTCGGAAGCCGTGAATAAAGCTCTGGGTGGCTCCTGAATCGGTTCATGGCAGATTATGGTGAGCAACATTGAGATGTTATTGGAAGTGTGAATGAGGACATTCACTGTTGCGATCCTTCTTTGCAACTTATTTTGAAGAATGAATGAAACATTTTTTTGGTTGCCTTTTTAAAAATTATAAATGGAAAGGAAGGACGGAGCAGGACATTATTAGGTTGCTTCTGATGCTTCAGTGTTATAAATTCAATATATAGACTGACAGCCTAAATTCAGGATGTAGAACAGTTCTTTTCATTTTTACTTTCTCCTTTTTTTTTCTTTTGCTATCTGTTCAATGAAAATAACAAGGTACAACCCAAGTTTTTACATAGTGTAACTAGAAGTATTCCACTTCAAGGTCTGAAAGTAGGATTTATGAAGCATTTTCTTAGACTTTTACCTTTAAAAAAGAACAAACAAAACCTGTCACACAGGATGGGTAAGAAGATTGGTTACACAGCTTTGTGGTGCTGACAATGAGCCTTATAGACTGTAAAATACAGATAGTTTGAACTAAGGTACAGAACTAAATTTTCTAAACTTTATTTGCTGTTAAAGAAATAATTCCTTATTTTAAAGAAAAAAACAAATTCTCGAAGTTTATAAAACATTTATTTTCTCAAGAAGGCTCACTTGCAAACATTTTGAAGTAAACAATGTCATAGCAGTCATGCACTGCCCTCTGGTGGTCACATGAGAGCCCTGCATGACAAATGCTGCAGGGCTCTGCATTTGGCGTCAGCAAAAGACAACATTCAAATTTAGACATTGCTATGGGCTTGCAGTTAGATCATATCCCAATTTTGTAAGAATCAATGTTTGGAAGATAACTTCGAGAGGAAGTCATTGTTTCTTCATTTCACATTGTAAAAAGGAGGTCTCTTTCCAAGTGTGGTATTTCAGGGAGTATTTATTGAGCACATAGATTCCAGGGCAGAAAATAGAGACCAGGTCACCGTCTCATAGCAGGGTAGGGGGTCGGGGAAAAGGGGCAGCAGTGTTAGGAAATGTTGAGAATGACTGGCCAACATCACAACTATGTATATCTGGCTTACAGAAAATAGTATATCAAACCAAAGCCCATTGATGGAATCCTTCTGATTACTTAAACAGTATATTTTATAAAATTTAAGAACTATTACCCAACATGTCTGTATACTTTCATCTAATCTTAGACACACAGTTTTTCCAAACATGGGATCAACTTACATCCCCAGTTACTTTTCTCACTTGATATGAGCCCTAATCCATGCTATTCAATTGTTTTTGAAAATCTGATTTAATTGCTGCATAGTGTTCCTTAATACATCTTGTACACAAATTACATGCTTCCATAGCTTCTGCTGCTGTCTCCCTCCACCAACCAAATCTGCTTTATTTCTAAAAGTGGACCTCAATCACCATCTTCTGCAGGCAGCTTCCCCTTCTAGAATAATTCATGGGACTTCTAGGACTTTCACTTTATCCTTCTGTCTCTTAGGATAGCAGGCACTCCATACCATGTCTTATCTCCCTTTATATACTGAGAGCTTCTTCTAGCGCAAGGTGCTGCTAAATTAGCTCTCTGTCCAGCTCTTAGCACAGTGCTCAGAATACAGCAGACACTCCATAAAAATTGGAGAAACACAATAAATCCAAACACGTTGTTTACTGTTGCAGAGAACTCTAGTCGTCCATCAAAATCCATTCTCCCCTTCTCCGCACACACAGTTGGACTACATTTCCCAGGCTCTCTTGTGTTATGCGTGGTCACATGGCCAGTTCTTGCCAATGGAAGAGGAGTGGGATCGATGTGAGCCACTGCCAGTCCAGGCCCATAAAATCCTCCTGTGGACATTTCTTCGTGCTCTTTCTTCTTCTGCTGATGCATGCAAGTAGGGATGAGGCCCCAGATATCAAAGTCAAAATAAAATATATTGGTGAATGGGTAAATTTAAATGTTTTATTTGGGAAAGCACAAATTGCAGTTCAGGGAATACACATAGTCCAAGTGCTCTTCAGAATGTCCAAGAACAAAGAGAAGGTTGGAGGTTTTATAAAAAGAGCTATGTTATGTTTTGTTTTGAAAATAAGGTCATTGGCATAAGTAAAATTTTAGGGAATTGGCATCCTCTAATTGGTGAGTGGTGATGGTGGGTAAAACTAGTCTTAGCTTCCTGGCAGGTCATTGTAGAAACTAATAGAAAACTGGTTTCAGGTTACAGCAGGCAGTTTCAGCAGCTGGGCTTGCCGAGAATTACATTCTCAAAACAATGTTATATTCCCCGAGTGCTTTTTCCCCCTGGTCTCTGGACTCTGTTTTAGCTGGGTATGACAAGAATGACCCAATTTGCATGATCACCATTCACAGGAATGGTGAAGGCACAAGAAGGAAACACTCTGGGTTCCTGGATGACCACAGGGAGGAAAGCTGCCTCTCCAACCTGGGCACCCATCTAGCCATGCCAGGGGGGTGCAAAATACAGTGTTATGCCACTGAAATTGTTTATTCAATGTAACCTCATTAATACAGCTGCTTACAAATTCGATCACAGGATAACTTACATAGTCATCTCTGTGTCACATTTAAAATGACAGAAGTCAGTCAGACCTTGCCAATGCTGCCCTTCCATTGACCCTGCTATTCTGACCCAGCCACTTTACCTCATAGAACTTCCGTCCCTCATAATATTTTAAATCTCTGCTTCATAAACGTTGACGTCAGAATTATACCAATATTTTAAAAGTTGAGGAGCAACTTTGAGAGTAAACTTCAATAGTACTTTTAATTATTTAATACTTTTTAAATATAGCACATGATATGGTTTCCTGTGTCCCCACCCAAATCTCATCTTAAATTCCCATGTGTTATGGGAGGGACCTGGTAGGAGGTAATTGGATCATGGGGGCAGGTCTTTCCCATGCTGTTCTTGTGACAGTGAATAAGTCTCATGAGATCTGATGGTATTATAAGGTGGAGTTCCCTTGCACAAGCTCTCTCTTTGCCTACCGCCATCCACGAAAGATGTGACTTGCTCTTCCTTGCATTGCACCATGATTGTGAGGCCTCCCCAGCCATGTGGAACTGTAAGTCCATCAAACCTCTTTCTTTTGTAAATTGCCCATTCTCATGTATGTCTTTACCAGCATCGTGAAAACAGACTAATACCGTAATCAGTATCAGTAGAGTGGTGCACTGCTGAAAAGATACCCAAAAATGTGGAAGTGACTTTGGAACTGGGTAACGGACAGAGGTTGGAACAGTTTGGAGGGCTCAGAAGAAGGCAGGAAAATGTGGGAAAGTTTGGAACTCCCTAGAGCCTTATTAAATGGCTTTGCCCAAAATGCTGATAATGATATGGACAATGAAATCTAGGCTGAGGTGGTCTCAGATGGAGATGAGGAACTTGTTGGGAACTGGAGCAAAGGTTACTCTTGTTATGTTTTAGCAAAGAGACTGGCAGCATTTTTCCCCCACCCTAGAGATTTGTGGAACTTTGAACTTGAGAGAGATGGTTTAGGGTATCTGGCAGAAGAAATTTCTAAGCAGCAAAGCATTCAAGAGGTGACTTGGGTGCTGTTTAAGGCATTCAGTTTTAAAAGGAAAATAGAGCATAAAATTTTGGAAAATTTGCAGCCTCACAATATGATAGAAAAGAAAAGCTCATTTTCTGAGGAGAAATTCAAGCAGGCTGCAGGAATTTGCATAAGTAATGAGGAGTTGAATGTTAATCACCAAGACAATGGGGTAAACGTCTCCAGGGCATGTCACAGACCTTGGCAGCAGACCCTTCCATCACAGGCCCAGAGGCTTGGGAGGATAAAATGGTTTTGTAGGCAGGCCCCAGGGTCCCCCTGTTGTGTGCAGCCTAGGGACTTGGTGCTCTGCATCCAGCTGCTCTAGCCATAGCTAAAAGGGTCCAAGGTATAAATCGGGCTGTGGCTCTAGAAGGTGCAAGTGCCAAGTCTTGGCAGCTTCCACGTGATGTTGAGCTTCCAGCGCACAGAAGGAAGAATTGAGGTTTGGGAACCTCCGCCTAGATTTCAGAGGATATATGGAAATGCCTGGATCTCTAGGAAGAAGTTTGCCACAGGGGCAGGGTCCTCATAGAGAACCTCTGCTAGGGCAGTGCAGAAGGGAAATATGGGTTTGGAGCCCCCACACAGAGTCCCTACTGGGGCACTGCCTAGTGGAGCTGTGAAAAGAAGGCCACTGTCCTCCAGCCCCAGAATAGTAGATCCACTGATAGCTTGCACCATGCACCTGGAAAAGCCATAGACACTCAATGCCAGCCCATGAAAGCAGCTGGGAGGGAGGCTGTACCCTGCAAAGCCACAGGGGCAGAGCTGCTCAAGACCATGGGAACCACCTCTTGCATCAGCATAACCTGGATGTGAGACATGGAGTCAAAGGAGATCATTTTTTTGGAACTTTAAGATTTGACTGCCCCACTGGATTTCAGACTTGCAGGGGGCCTGTAGCCCCTTTGTTTTGGCCAATTTCTCCGATTTGGAATGGCTGTATTTACCCAATACCTATACACCCATTGTATCTAGGAAGTAACTAACTTGCTTTTGATTTTACAGACCCATAGGCAGAAAGGACTTGTCTTGTCTCAGATGAGACTTTGGACTGTGGACTTTTGAATTAATGCTGAAATGAGTTAAGACTTTGGGGACTATTGGGAAGTCACGATTGGTTTTGAAATGTGAGGACATGATATTTGCGAGGGGCCGGGGATGGAACGATATGGTTTGGCTGTGTCCCCACCAAAATCTCATCTTGAATTCCCATGTGTTGTGGGAGGAACCCGGTGGGAGGTAATTGAATCATGGGGGCAGGTCTTTCTCGTGCGGTTCTTGTGAAAGTGAATAAGTCTCATGAGACCTGATGGTTTCATAAAAAGAAGTTTTATTGCACAAGCTCTTTCTTTGCCTGCCTCCATCCATGTAAGATGTAACTTGCTCTTCTTTGCCTTCCACCATGATTGTGAGGCCTCCCCAGCCATGTGCAACTATGAGTCCATTAAACCTCTTTCTTTTGTAAATTGCCCAGTCTTGTGTATGTCTTTATCAGCAGTGTGAAAATGGACTAATACAGCACAGTAAACCAGTTATAATTTGTTCATTACAATTTTTTGATTCAGTTTATTTGGAATTTACTGAAAATGTCTGTATGAAGATCAATTATGTTTTATATAAATAACTTGACTTCTCTTACACATCATGATTTGCTGACTATAGATTCTGCCTTTTAAGTTGTCCCAAGGTGTTATTATTTCTATCTTGTTAAGCACTTTTGGTCAAATAATGCATATCAAATATTTTTAAAAGTATTTATCTCCCACCAATTTTTTGTCAATGGTAATTTTTACCATGTGCAACTTTCACGACTACCAGTTTTATTTTGACCTCCAGTAATATTCACTATGGAGGTCAAAGTATCCCTGGGGACAATATGGTGAGGTGAAAGCATTCTACTTCTTTCATTTACAGAGGTTCAATTCTGTCCCTGTTTAGGAACATGCCTTTTGCTCAAAAGTCTCCACAATCTTCCACCTCTGCCCACCCATTTAGGCTATAAAAGAAGATTTTCTAAGAGCTCCTCTGGCCACTTGTCAGGAGGTCAAAGGTAGCCCAGGGTGGACCAAAGCAAGCCAGTCCAATCCAGGCCATGCCTGTGAGCCCACTTGGACAGACCCAAACCCTCTGCCTGAGTGTGGGGGAAAGGGAACCTGAGGGGAAGGCCCGCTCTGGCAAGAGCATGTTGGTGGTGATTGTAACCCTGGTGGTCCTTTTCATGTTCTTCCTCATATGAGGGATGGCAGGGAGTGCTGGAGAGGCTCCTATCTGCCCCCATGTCAATCCTGGGCCCTCAGACTTCCATCTCCTCTCCTCCCAAGGTGGACATCTGTGACACAAGGTTATGTGTGCAGTCAGGGAGCAGAACCAGTCCAACAATGGCCAGGCAAAGCTCCAGTGCTTTCTACTGGCTACCAGGCAGGCACTGCCTTTACTGAACTCGAGGCAGGAGATCTACAGGGAGCTGGTCAACAGGCCCTCTACTCCATCTCCTTCCATGAGGGGCAGCAGCCTCATGCTACCAACAGGGGCAAGCACTGGCTGAGGTGGGAGTGGACACAGAGAAGACTCCACCCTAGGGGCCTGAAACAGCCAGAGAGGGCCCTGGAGATTATGATCAATGAGAAGGTGCAACAACAACAACAAAAAAAAAAAAGAAAGAAAGCAATCATGTTTGGTGACTTAAGGAAAGATCTGTTAGCACTGTTTGCAGAGAAAGCAATCAGGCAATACACAGTAAGTCATGAGTAGGTGGAGAATTAGAAGGCAAGCAAGTAAGCCAAGAAGTAAAGCAAGAACCTGAAAGCAGTTCATTGCTTATGTTTAGGTGGGTGGTCTCTTAAACACCAGTGTGAAGTCGGACCAGGTTTATTGGTCCATTTAGAGGAGTCAGTATCTGGTGTGTACTGCCTACTGCCAACTGAGGTTTGGATGATCTTGGCTACGGTGTTCTACCATGTGGTTTCCATTCCTGGAGGTGTTTCTGCATACAAGGTGCCATGAGTCCAATGACTATTCTAGGATCAGCTTAACTTGGGTATGATGGATTCACAGCTTGACTCCTTTCAATTTGACTGAAGAACAGGTCACTATTAGCGCCTCATAAGGCCTGGTCCAACAAGGACAAAGCTGATCTTCCAGATGTTCATTCTTCTAGGACTTTAATAAAACCCAGTCTCCAGGACAGAGGTGGTACAGAGGAACATCTGTGGGCAACATTAACCTGCTAGAAGTGAACTCATGTATAGCAGTGAGAGAGACTTCCAATGATTGAACACACCTGACAGCATCTAATTCTTTAGTTCAGCTTCCCTCCAGGTCCCCCAGTCCATCCTTTGAGCATAGGACAGGTCTTCTATATAACAGTTCAGAGGGGCTCAATTAGAGCTTGCTTCAAGGGGCCACTCTCATCTGAAGCAGAGCAATGGGTGAGACCTCATCCCAAGGTAAATTAGTCTCCTGACGAATTTTAGCTGCAGTCTTTTTAAAAGTATGATTCATCTTTTCTGTCTTGCCAGTAGATTGTGGTTGCCAAGAAGCATATAATTTCCAGTGAATGTCTACGCACCACAGACTTCTTGAGTTATTTTTGTTATAAAGGCTCTTCTACTGTCTCTTTGTGTAGACATGGGTAGCCCAACTGCTCTATTTCTTTTAATAGAGCAGTTACAATCTCAGAAGACTTTTCCAACTAATGGGGAAAGACTTCCATCCATCCAGTGAAAATGTCCATAAATACCAACAAAATCCCTGAAATTCCTGGTGGCTCTCAGCAAAGTACATTCAATTTACCTGTCTTCTGTGAGTCCAGAGCCTCTGGGTTGTACCCCTTTTATTATTAGCGCATGTCCTGATTGAGTGTCTAGTAAGGCTTGGTCCTTTCCTAGCCTCCCAAAAGTAAGTCAATATCCTCCTTTATGTTCTAATAGAGGAAGTACACAGTGGGGAGCATGTACAGCAGTGGGTTGATCCAAGATGACCTTTTCTGCTTCTTGCAGTAAATCCTAGGTGGCTGCTATCACCATCAGGCATATGGGTCATCCCTCAGCCCTTATGTCCAGTTGCTTTGATAAACAGGCATTGGATCTTCTCATATTACCTGGATTTGGAGTTAATGTCTCAAAATTAATCTCTTGTCTTTAATTGACAAACAGGTCAAAAGGCATTCTAATGTCTGAAAGACCTAGAGCACGAACAATGAGTCTGTCATTTTTATTCAATAACTTGGAAGGGCTTATGGCATTCGTGAGTCAAACTGAGAGGCTCATTGTCTCTTCCTTTAAAAATCTTCCTGAAGGGGCTTGGCTATCAGTTCAAAATTGGGGATACAGATATGGCAAAACGCTGTCATACCTAGGAATCCATGCAATTGTTTCCTGGTAGGAGGTACTGCTACTCTCACCAGTGCCTCTTTTGGATCAAGGTATAAACTCCTCTACCTTTGTGACAGTTCAAATTTTAAGTATTTAACAGAATTCTGGGGAAATCTGGGCCTTTTTCTTGCAGACTTTAGTAGCCCTCTTCAGCTAGAAAATTTACATTCCAAATTGTATTCTGTCCTGAGTCTTCCTTACCCTTGCTGGCAACTAGGATGTGACCCTTCTTTTAATTGGAGATCCTTATATCTCTGGGTAAGATTTCATCAGAAGTGGTAGAAGAATTCTTAAAACTTTGAGAGAGTACAGTCCAACCATGTTGTTTGACCCTAGTCTCAAAATCTTCCCATGCAAAAGCAAAATGCCCTGAGAGTTGGAGCTTAGAGATGTGCAAAAAAAAATGCATCCTTAAGGTCCACAACAGTAAACCAGCTAAAGTCTCTAGAGAGAATAGTAAGTAAAGCATAAGTGTTAAGCATCAGCAGGAGGATATCTTCTACAATCTAATTAATGGCTGTTAAGTCCCGTGTAAGTCAATAGTCTTGTGTGCCTGCCTTTGTGCTAACAAAATTGGGGTATTATATGGAGACCAGCATGGGCGGATGAGTTCCCATTCAAAAAGGCAGTTAAGAAAAGCGAGGCTGGGTGGGGTGGCTCACACCTATAATTTTAGCACTTTGGGAGGCTGAGGCAGGAGGATCTCTTGAGGCCAGGAGTTTCAGACCAGCCACTATGTTTCTTCAACGGCTGAGGAAAAATAGTGAGACCCCATATTGAAAGAAAGAAGAAGAAAGAAAGAAAGAAAGAAAGAAAGAGAGAGAGAGAGAGAGAGAAAGAATGAAAGAAAGAAGGAGAGAGAGAGAAAGAGAGAGAGAGATAAAGAGAGAAAGAGAGAGAAAGAAAGGCAAAAAGGAAGAAAGAGAGGAAAGAAGGAAGGGAGGGAGGGAGGAAGGAAGGAAGGAAGGAAGAAAATCTGGAACTTTCCTTCAGTAGATACTGTCTCAAGTTTGTAACTCTTGACCCAGAAAGAAGTTTAACATGCATAGATGTTGTTCTGTGTGCCCATCCCACCATCCGACCCACCCATATATCCAGTCTTATAAGATGTCTTCAGGGACCTCTACTGGGGGTTCCTTGACTTGAAGTAGCACCACCTGGAGGGCTCATGCTTGTCTGGTGGCACTTTAATGTACCTCCATCCAGGCGCAAAAGTCACTAGCATTCAGCTTGGTTAGTAAGTCCCATCCTAGCAGTGACACAGGGCACTCAAGCAAATATTTTAAAAACCATGTTTTAGGTGTGATTTGCCCATTTGGTGATCTAAAGTTTAGAGAAATGGCTTTTTCAAGGTTTCTCCAGGGATCTTAGTTATTAGCATTGTTTTCAGTTAACTAGAAAAATCTAATATTATGAACTGAATAGGTAGCCCCAGTATCAACCAGAAAATCCAAAAGATGATTTCCTGTCATCTTGGTCACCTGGGGTTGCAAGTGGAAAATCATTTTTTTTTTTTTTTTTTTTTGAGACAGAGTGTCACTCTGTCGCCCAGACTGGAGCGCAATGGCACGATCTCGGCTCACTGCAACCTCTGCCTCCTGGGTTTAAGTGATTCTCCTGCCTTAGCCTCCCAAGTAGCAATTACAGGTGCTCACCACCATGCCTGGCTAATTTTTGTATTTTTGTAGAGATGGGGTTTCACCATGTTGGGCAGGCTGGTCTTGAACTCCTGACCTCAGGTGATTTGCCAGCCTCAGTCTCTCAAAGTGCTGGGATTACAGGCATGAGCCACCACGCCTGGCCGGATGTGGAAAATCTTAACAGGATCAGTAAAGTCAAGTGCCCAGGCTTCGTCATTCCTCATCCCTGTTGGTGATCTCAGGCATTTGGTGCACTGCCTGATGCCTATCTTCTTCAAGAGTCTTATTTTGGTTGAGGCATTCTATTTTCCCATGGCCCTCCCTCTTGTTTACAGTAGGCATATTAGTGGGGTCCCATTGCGGGGTGTCTTATATGGTTTGGATTCTGGGATGGGAGGCTGCCTATGTTTAATCAAGGTCTTCCTACTTGTGGACCATGGGTCAGTTCCTGGGTCAGTGCCACCGCCAGCAAGGCAGCTTATTGTTTCACTTTCTGGACTTGATTCTGCCACTGAAAATCTTAAGGACAATGTCAACCAGTTGAAACATCAGCATCCCCAGGGTCTCCTCTGTTTTCTGTAGTTTCTTCTGAATATCCAGAGTGCTTTGGCTAATATAGCTTATATTTACCATTTTTAAGTTCTCAGGGGCCTCTGGATCTACATCAGTGTATTGCCTATACATTTTAAAAATCCTTTCCAGAAATTCTGAAGTTTTCTCTTTAGGTTTTGGTTTCATCTCCTGCATTTTATTTAGACTCCTTTGTTTTGGAACTCCCTTATGGAGCACTGCTAAAAAGCAATTTTGGTAGTATTCAAGTCTCACTCTGTCTCCTGCATTTATATTTCAGTGAGCGTCAGGTGTGGGGATGGCCACGGATATCAACAGTTGCTATTTTATGTTTTGTTCTTACTGTTTAATTATAGCCATCCCAGTGGGTGTGGAGTGGTATCTCATTGTTGGTTTCCTTTTCATCTCCCTAACATCTAATGTAGATCACCTTTCATGTGCTTGCTTACCATTTGTATATCTTCTTTGGAGAAATGTCTGTTCAAGTCCATTGCCCATTTTTGGTTCAATTGTTAAGGTTTCTGTACTTAAACTGGAAGAGTTCTTTATATTTTCTGGGTACAAGATTCTTATCAAATTCATCACTTGCCAATATTTCCTGCAATTCTGTGAGTGGTCTTTTCACTCTCTTGACAGTGTCCTTTGATATACAAAAGTTTTTAATTTTGATGATGCCCAATTTATCTGTTTTTTTTCTTTTACTGCTAGTGTTTTGTATGACATGTTAAGAAACTAATCCAAATCCAAGGTCATAAACATTTGCCCCTATATTTTTTTTCTAAGACCTTTAGTTTTAGCTCTTACATTTAGTTGTTTCATCATTTAAGGTTTTTATAGCTTGTTTGATTAATATACAACTTCACTCATTCATTCATTTATTACTAATCTTATATGTCTGCATGTGTAAGGAGATACATCTTCCAGTTAGGGGATAATTATATTTGTTTCTTATAGGGAATTTACATTATTTTCCAAATTATATCAAATAATAACAGCAAGTAAATATTTCTTTAAAAATTCTCTAAAACAATAAAACTTGTTCTGAATGCTAGCTTATAGAAGTATTGAAATGATACAATGTGAGAACTAAGGAGTTAAAATTATTAGTATTATATTTGCAATGAGTTCATTATTTTCTGTTCTTTTTTAAGAATAGTGTCACAATTAATTAGTATACTAATAGAATATAAAGTGGGTTTCTGGGTGTTTGCCTAAATATGTAGCAAATGATATTTTAATTACAATTTGAGTTGCTAATCGTTGTCAAATAAAATTTTAATAAAAAAAAAAATGGGGAAAACAATGTCGTTGTCCTAAGCAGTCCTGCACTGCCCTCTGGTGGCCTTTCACTTACTATGTCTTCTCATTGTTGATTTCAAGCACCTTCTGCCTTTCTTGATATTTTTACATTTGACTTTAATTTTTTTCACTCTGATAGTATTTTGGAGTTTAAGAATGTCAAGAAAAAAATTAAATTATCCCTTCTGTATTACAAGAATCTTAATACACTTTTATATGTAATTCTTTTAGCCTACCAGAATTCCTCATTATGACTTTGTAATATTTTATGGAATACAAATTGTTTACTTAATATTTCATATTGATAAGGACACTGTGCTCAGTTTCCTGGGTAAGTTAGTCTGTAAATTTCCTTACAGCTTTTTGAAGTATAATTGATATATTACAATGCACATCAGCCAAATAAAGATTACAATTTCACAAATCTGGGCACATGTATATATCCATAAAACCATCACTGCGATTAGGGTAATATACACGTATACATTGCCCCCAAAAGATTTTTCTCATTTATTTGTAAAAATCCATTGTTAGCTTGATGTACAGATAACTTCTATTTGGTCCTTCACATTCACCTTTTGACTGGGGAGGAGGTGGTCTGTACAGTGAAAAAATTGCTTGACCTTGCTTCACTGTACAGTTAGGAACCCATAATAAAAGGGAGATCTAAAGATAGGTCATTAGCCAGGAGAGAGCGTTGCCAGGACTGCCCTGGAGGAGATGACTATACGCTGAAAGCTTATGGGACCTTGCAGGTCCATGCTGGCAAAAGCCTGGGCAGCAGGAGTGGGAGTGGGTCCAAGGCGGTGGACCAAGGAGCAAAATAAAGGTCTTGATTGGACTGAATTCATTGACATGAGAGAGCCCACTATGGATTTGGGTTTAAAGTATTGGATAGACCACCTGCTAGTGGTGTTGGTACTCTGGGCCCTATGATGGCTTCCAGATAATGAGGTCAGAATGCTCGAATGTCCTTGCCATACTGCTGAGGGAGGGAGGAAGGAGTCAGAATGCATAAGGACAGGCATGGTGGGATGGAGCTATGATGTGCAGTCTGCTCAGCCATCCCTAATCTTGCCTGCTGGGAGAAAGCAGAGCTCACTCACTTCATCAAAGAGTTTAAAAAGTGCATTGGCAAAGGCAGAGGAGGCACCAGCATCCTCAAAGAGATCTGTGCTTGGCCATCCTCTATTGCTGCCAATGACGGTAGGGGACAGTGAAGAGTGACAGGGTCAGATGGCTCAGGCATCAGAGACAAGGTGCATGCAGTCACCAGTATGCCTTGTGGGCAGGATGGGAATTAGAGAATGACCCACAGGGATACATGGTGAGGGGTAATTGATCAGGGGTCCTTAGAAATGAAATTGATGGGCAGCGGGATCCATTGTCTCTAGCATAGTTATGAGACATAAGCCAGTAATGACCTGACTCTGAGCTCCTAGACTGAGGGAGAGATTGGAGCCCTTCAAGGCAGCAATGTCGTCTCAGGTATGTATCATGTATCTTTTCCCTCAGCTTCCCCAAATGTCCCCAAAATCAAAGGCAATTACTGCTGTGACCACACTTTGGAAGAAGGGAGATACCTACATGCATTTTCTGGAGAATTTCGTCTACATGTTTGGAGCAGATTTTGAATCCCCAACATCAGAAAAGCTGTGTGGCCCAGCAAGGGCTTTGGAAGTCTGGGGATAGAAGCTGCCTTGGCCCAAGGTTAAGATTGTTCAGTGGGACCATGGCCTCTGCCTGTGGTTACTCCTCAGTTCCAGAAAGGATGTATTTATCAACTAGTGGGATAGGAATTTTTAGCCACTGGCGGAATCTGCACACTGGTTTCCTGAACCCAGGAATTTTTCTTACTAGGGAAGAAAGGCCCAAGTAAAGGTTCCTGGAACTACCCCATCCCTGAGAGTAAACCAAAGGCAACACGTCAACCATGGAGGAGACAGGAGAGGTGAGCAGTGTCATCAAACCCTCGAGACAGGCAGGTTAGCAATTCCCACTGTTGCTCATTTTCCTTGCTTCTTTGGATACCTTAAAAGCCAGATGGGTTATGGAGATGAGCAGTAGATTTCCACAAATGTAATCAGATGGAGAAGGCAACAGGAGCTGTGACTCTTTGTAGGATATCTCAACAGAAATAATCCATCAGTTACACCGCTGCTGCGGGAGGGCCCTGAGCATGGCACGAGACCCCTGCCCATGAAACCAGCTGCTGAGAATGAAGAAGTGACACAGGAAAACCTGCCAGCACCACAGGCTCCACACTAAGCAGGAGGTCACAGTAACTAGCCCACCCTGGAGGAATTTGAATACAGCCCAACTACTGACTAGATGGTCTCAACTCCCTACACTACTGGCCTGGCAGAAGGTGTACACCCACTTCTGAACATAAATCCTAGTTACCCCAGTCTCTACTGCTCTTCTCTATAATTTTATGTCAATAAATTTTGAAGTTTAAATAAAATGGACAAATCCCTTAAAAGGAAAAAATAAAAACAACTCATTACATCAATGGCTAGTGAAGTTTTCATACTCAAAGAAAACATCAAAGAATGTCAATATCCTGTCCCTCTCCCATCCTAGCAGGATAATTTATTTTTATGATTGCAAGTGGTTCATTTTTAGATAAATTTTCACATTTTTCTTCAAGCATCCAATTTCCCACTACTATTTTTGATTTCAGCATACTTCCAGTTCTCATAGAGAGGTGAAGGTGCTGCTTTCTGGGTTAAGGCCCAAGCAACATTGCTATATGAGCAGGTGACCCATGGATGCTACCATTTCCTCCAGGAGAGATAAATATTGTGGCAGGCATAGCTCCTTGTTTAGATAAATTATTTTCCTCTTCTTCCTGGACATCTTGCATTGGGTGTGGCCCGATGACTGATGAGTTCTAGCGAATGAGATGTGAGTGGAAGTGATATGTTTGCTTCTAGGTTGTGACTTTGAAATGTGGCCTGTTCCATGTACTCTTCCCCTGTCTGTTGGCTGAAATGGAAGAAACTTTTGTCTCTGAATTACACTGAGGAAGAAAACTGCCTGTCAAGAAAAAATTTACACTTGGATTATCATGTGAATCAGCAGTAAGTATCTATTACATTAGGACACTGAAATTTGTGGATCTCCTGGTTTTAGTAACTAGCATTCAAGTAACTAATACAGATGTTGGGCTGCTTAATACAGAATATCACTAATATCAATAATTTATAAAATAAATTATTTCCCAAGATTAAATCTTAACTAGATGTGGCTGAGATAAGTTGTTTTCTCCCACTCACCACTGTCTTCTTCCACATTAGTAAAATGTCTGATTTTATTTGGGAGGATGATGGCTCAGAACAAACATGGCATGACATTTCCCAGCCTTCATTGTGTGTCATGGGTATGATCGTGTGATAACATTCTAGCCAAGTGGCTAATTCTAGGATATAAGCAGAAGCATCATGTGGTAGCGACTGGGATCCTTCCTTAAAAGGTAGATGCTTCGGCCAGGCGCCGTGGCTCAAGCCTGTAATCCCAGCACTATGGGAGGCCAAGATTGGCCAATCATGAGGTCAAGAGATCGAGACTATCCTGGCCAACTTGGTGAAACCCCGTCTCTACTAAGAATACAAAAAAATTAGCTGGGCGTGTGGCACAAGAAACCCTGTCACTACTAAGAATACAAAAAAATTAGCTGGGCGTGGTGGCACATGGCTGTAGTCCCAGCTACTCAGGAGCCTGAGGCAGGAGAATCGTTTGAACCTGGGAGGTGGAGGTTGCAGTGAGCCGAGATCGCACCACTGCACTCCAGCCTGGGCAACAGAGCGAGACTCCATCTCAAAAAAAGAAAAAAGAAAAAAAGATAGATGCTTCATATAATGTGCCCTTTTCTTCTTGGTTATTCTCTACATTATGCTCTTTGAAATGCAGATGTGATGGCTGGAGCAATGGTTGCCATACTGAATCATGAGAATGAGTGCCCTAGTGATGACAGATCAGTAGGGTAGAAAGAACCCGGGTTACAAGGATTTCATGGATTACTTACATTCAGACTTATATATGAGAGAGAGACAAACTTTTCTGTGTGTAAATCATTCTTATTTTAAAGCCTCTGATATGTGTAGCCACACTGAATTTTAATTCAAATACTTGGTCTTGAAGGATAAGTAAATGTTTATCAGGCACAAAAACTTTGGTAAGACATAAAAGGAGAACAATCTATAGTTGATTAACCTTACTGGTTTTAAAAAATGAAAGAAAGAAGAAAAAAGAAAGAACTAAGTTGTGAATTTACTTATCTCCCTAAGAAGGACAAGCTAAAGAACACATGAATTATTCTTAGAGATTCCAGATTACAATACTAAAGGTCTATAGCTGTAGATAGTGAAGGTGCAAGGGTGTCCATTGATCGAGTCCATTGTTAGTTTGTTGGGGCTTCCAGAACAAAGTACCACAAACTGGATGGCTTGAAAACCAGAAATTTATTGTCTCCCAGTCGGGAGGACAGAAGGCTGAGATCAAGCTGTCTGCAGTGTTGGTTCCTTCTGGGGGCTGTGAGGGAGATGCCACTCCATGCCTCTCTCCCAGCATCTGGGGGTTTCCTGGCAATCTTTGGCATTCCTGGGCTTGTAGCTGCATCCTTTGAATCTCTGCCTTCCCGTCCACACGGAGTTCTCCCTTTTTGTGTCTCTGTGTCCAAATTTCTTCTTTTGTAAAGACACAGCTTATATTGGATTAAGAGCCCACCCTGCTCTCTCTACCCCATTATGATCACATCCTAACCTAATCTTTACATCTGCATCTGCATCAACCCTATCTCCAAATAAGGTCACTTTCTGAAGTACTGGGGGTTAGGACTTCAACAAATGAGTAGTGGGGATGCAATTCAACCCACAGCAAATACTAACATTAGAGTGTACCACTATAAAAACAATTCCTACTTAGATTTCTCCACATGGCTGAATGTAAAGTGAAACAGTGAGGGCACTAGCAGTTTTGGAGGCTGAAGTTATTTGTGGAATAATATCACACTCCTCTTCTCTGGGGTGAATGCCAGGAGAACATGCAGGGAATAAAAATCAATACCTGTCTTCAAGACAGCTTCAGAGCCAGAGGGCCACCCAGATGCTGGAACAGAGGCCCGGAATTATCACCAACACAGAGACATAGCCAAAGTGCCAGAGTGCATGGAGGAGGGAATTATGAACTCCAGGTGAAGACGCTGAGAGCAGCAAACAGTGTGAAAACCAAAACTTCAGCGCACATGGGCTTTCCTCAAAGTGTGACAGTGGAACCGAATGCATGGAGTCCGAACACGGCTGGAAAATCCAGACCTAGACAGTCACAATGGCTTAGTGAGGAAATACCATTTAAATTGGGTATTCAAGGAAATGATCTGACAGGCGGTGATGGAGTGGGGAGGTGGGGATTTCAGGGAGAAGGAATAACAGGAGCAAATCCAAGGAGGATTGAAGGACGGGGCAAGGCTGTTGTGCTGATTGCCTCCTGGGGCGTCTGCAGATGGAAAGAGTGACAGAGGAGCTGCTGGGGAGCCAGGGGAAGTGGCAGGGCAGGAAAGCAGCCCTTTTTCTGATATTTATGCCAGCTTCAGAAAGCTACTGTGGGGTGAGGTCGATTCGGCACATTGCATCCCTATTTTCAAAGCTAACTTAAGGGCAGGTGGGACACCATTCAGGAGTAAGGATCTTCAAAGCCTTTCTTTCCTTTATGGGACTTGTTAGTGTGCTCTACTGGGCACTGCCAGCTTCTCCTCAATGTCCCATGAGCTGAGTGTTTAAGGCCAGGCAATTCCAGGCTCTGGTTCCTCAAAGTCTGAATGTACCTAGATTACTAAGGTCCTTAAAAAATAGAGATACAGGGCCAGGCATGGTGGCTCACGCCTGTAATCCCAGCACTTTGGGAGGCTGTGGGGGGCAGATCACCTGAGGTCAGGAGTTTGAGACCAGCCTGCCCAACATGGCGAAACCCTGTCTCTACTAAAAATACAAAAAATTAGCCTGGGGTGGTGGTGCCTGTAATCCCAGCTGCTCGGGAGGCTGAGGCAGGAGAATCGCTTGATTCCGGGAGGCGGAGGTTGCAGCTAGCCAAGATTGTGCCACTGCACTCCAGCCTGTGCTACAAGAGCAAAACTCCATCTCAAAAACAAAAAACAAAAAACCACAGATACAGAGGTCTGAAGTGAAGCCTGACAGATGGTAAAACAATCTCCAGGTGGCCTCGGTGCTCAGCCAGGTCTAGGACTTTAATTCCCCCATGGCATTTGGAGTTAGCTAGCATGTTTGAGAAGGCAAAGGGACGTGAGCATCTGCTGTAAATTTGGTTACAAAGTTGGCCAAATAAGAAATTGCTTATATGAATTATGGAATCCTATAGTCATAAGATTTTTAAAATGACTACTGGGAAACTGAAAATTTATAGTGAAATTCTCTCTACTGCTCATTTTAGTTCCCTTCTTTTCTCAAAGTTAAATTATAACTCAATGTAACCCATGAAAGGAAAGGCTGTTTGTTTCCTGTGCAAGTCTAAGATTTTGGGGAAGGGAAGAGTAGAAAAAAAAAGATAGGGAAATCAACATTTAATTTATGCCTACTACCATGCTAGAAACTAAAGATATATAAATTACTTATTATAAATATCAATTACAACTTCAGTGATTAATTTTAGAATCTAAATAAAACCTGACAAAACTTACAGTAATTAAAAATGTATCAACGAAAGAAACAGAACAGTCAAAATAATCTTTAGATGGACATGCTTAGAGGATCACATTACTTTCAGGACTTACTAGAAAACTATAGCAATCGAGACAGCGTGGTATTGACATAACAACAGACATATAGATCAAAGTAACAGAATAGAATCCTGAAGTAGATCCACACTTATCCATGAACTATTTCCTGACAAAGACAAAGACAATCCAGTGGTGGAAGGGAAATCACACCTTATGTGCTCTTTAGTGTCTTCTTCTGCAGAACACGATGCTTTTCAAATTCATTAATTCTGTCGCTTTATCCATGGTTTGTCTTTCATTGCTGAGGAGTATTCTACTGGACAAATATACTACATGTTCGTGTTGATGGATGTGTGTGCTGTTACCAATTTGGAGCAGCTGTGAATAAAATGGTGGTGAACATTCTGATAAAGGTCTCTTTGCAGACATGTGTTTTGTTTCTCCTGGGTAAATGCTGAGAGCTGGAATTGCTGAATTATAGGTCAGGAACATGTTTACTTTTATAAGAAACTGCCAAAGTGATTATGCCATTTTACCCTCTCACTAGCAACATGAGTGGTCTTGCTTTGCATCCTCACTGACACTTGGTCGTGTTTGTATTTTTAATTTTAGCCCTGTTCAGTATTGTGTGTTGGCACTTTATTGTGGTCTCCATTTGTTTCTCTCGTGATTCATTATAATGAGTACTGTGTCCCTGTGGAATGGCCATCTGCATACTTCCCTTTGTGGAAGGTCTATTTAAATCATGTGTCTAGTTTTCTATATTGCAGACAGGATATTCTCTAAATTCTCCTCCTAAAAACTTTATAATGTAACTTTCATATTTAGGTCTATGGTTCATATCAAATTAATGTTTATGTATGATTAGTGGTAGGGAGGTTTTTTGTTCTAATACAGATGATGAAACTAAATCCTGAAATTGTTTTACAATCTTTCCCTTTTTTTTTTTTTTTTTTTTTGAGATAGGGTCTTGCTTTGTTGTCCCAGCTGGATTGCAGTGGTGCAGTCATGGTTCACAGTTCACTGCAGCCTCAAACTACCAGGCTCAAGTGATCATCCCGCCTCCCAAGTAGGTGGGACTACAGGCGCCTGCCACCATGCCTGGCTAATTTTTGTATTTTTTGTAGAACAGGGTTTCACCATGTTGCCTAGGCTGGTCTCCAATTAATGGGTTCAAGCGATCCTCCTGCCTTGGCGTCCCAAAGTGCTGGGATTACAGACATGAGCCTGCAACAGCACCCAGCCTGTTATATAATCTTGGTAGCCTCTGCTGGAAGAAGTTATAGAACATTTCTGTCACTCAAGAAATTTCCCTTGTGCCTCTTCACTTTCCCACCTGTATCAGTCAAGCTCTTCCTCCGACACAGAACTAGTAAGATACATATACAGCAAGCAGTTGTGAGGGTTCCTGGGCAAGTCTGAAATCCACAGGGCAGGCCACAGGAGGTCAGGCTGGAAGTCTGGGTAGGAGCTGACCCACAATCCAGAGAGGAGATTTCTTCTTCGTCAGGGAAACTTCAATTCTTTTTAAAGCCTTTCAACTGATTGGAATGGCCCAGCCAGATTATAGAGGATAATCTCATTTATCTGAAGTGAACTGTAGATGTTAATCACATCTACGGAATACCTTCATGGCAGCACAGTGTTCGAATAATCAGCTGAGACTAGAGCCTAATCAAGTTGACATAAAAACCATCACTCCCTTAATCCCCAGAACATCTAATGACTTCTGCCTGTTATTGGACTTCAAATAAATGGCATATAGAATGTGTTTTCTTTTGTGTCTGGTTTTGTTCTGGAAAGTGCTATTACTTGACAAATTTCAAACAGCTGCAGAGGAAGGATTTACTTGAGGCGATATAACTTGAAATCTTGAAGCTTAAACCAATACACTAATGCTCTTGGCTGGAAAAAGGGATTAGAGTGCCATAAAAGAGAAAATGTGCCCATTTGTAAAATTTGGAAACATAGGTAGAAATAGGATTACAGAATGAGTTCAAAATAATACATTTGATAAAAATGCATAGACAAAATTATAAAAAGTATGATACATAAATATGTGTATATGATACATAAATATACACATTTTACATTCAGTTGCATAACTTCTGAGCATATGACTATTTTAATAAAAATTTTACATAAATTAAAAATAGCATTTATAGTTCTGCCTAGCTTATACCAGACAGAATGTCAAATCCAAGACTGACTGTCCAGTTCAAAATCAGACACGTGCTAATCTTGCTGAGAAAGTGTGTCAGTCAGGATCTAGCCAGGAATCAGAAACACACCCATAATTTGAATAGGAACAATTTAACAAGATGAGTTACTAATTGGCAAGAGGTGATGAGCTGCTAACAGAGTAACTTAAGTGAAAGAGAACTCAAGAACACAGGAATTGCAGCTGGAGTGTAAGTTCCACCAATCAGATCCATGCTCAGAAGATTTCAAATCAGAAGCAAGCTACTTAAGCAAGGACGCTCTGCACTTTGCTGCCAAAGGCTGATGCACAGGAGTCTGGCTTTTGGAAGCATCCAGGGTGGCAGGAACAAGTTGCTGACACCGGGGTGTCACTACAAATAGTGTCAGTAGAAGTAAAGTCTGGAGATGTGACAGCCATCGTCTGCATGAGGGAAAAGCCAAGAGAATCAATAAAATGCAGGACAAGTCACTGTTGAGCTGCTTAACCACGTACCGTTGTCTATGCTGATTCTCTGGGCAGTTTCATGCTCCTGGACTTCCCTGATCATTATCATCCCTACCCATATTTAATCTTTTTTTATGTGCCAGGTTTTTGTTTGTTTACAAAAAATCATCTTACTAGTTTTTCCAAGTACCAACTTTTACCTTTGTTAATTTTTCATATAGTACATTTGCTTTCTTATAATTGATTTCTGTTCTTTGTTATCTAGCTGCTTCTACTTTCTTCTGTTTAATTTGCTATTCCTTTCTAGTTTCTTGCCACAGAAGCTTTGTTAAGTGATTTTCATCACTTCTTCCAGCATAGGCATTTGAAGCAATAATGTTCCTTGTAAGCAACATCCCACTAGTATTACTATACTGTATTTTCATTACCATTCAGTTAGAATTATTATCTACATTTTACTGTGATGTCTTCTTTAACACATGGATCATGTAGAAGTATGGTGCTTCATTTCCAAACATTATGAATTTTCTATTTCTCTTTCTGTTACTGATTTCTAGTAGGAGTCCACTTTTAGCAGAGAACATAGTATGATTTCAGTCTTTACAATTTGTGGCAACTTGGTTTCCCCTTTACGGAGAGTAACAGAAAATCAAGAGACACACAAATATATCTGAAAACGAGAACAAAATGCTGCTGGGTGGTGCGGGGCCGAGAGCAGAAATCCAGAACTGCTCACCGCAGTTCTCCCCCTGCATGAAGGCCTGAACCCCCTTGCTGAGGACACTCAGGTGGCTCCGGTCACCACCTGGGCCTTCAGAGGGGCATCTGGAGCCGCCCACAGAAAGGGGAGGGGCGAGTGGCTCCTTCCCGGGCTCGCGCCCTCTAATTTGGCGGCGTCTTCTGGGAAGGAGGTGGCTCCAGAGTGGGGGTCCCGCGGGCGCGCAGGGACTGGGGAGGCTCCGAGGGAGCAAGACATTTAAACCCGGGCGGTGGGGGGGCGGGCGGTGTCAGACGCCCAACGACCACCTCCCTCCCGGCCCGCGCCGAGCCCGGCCACACCCTCCCCGCGACACCCGCGATCGCCCCCCAGGACTGGCGGCCCCGGGCCCCGCTCCCACCCACCCACCTACGCAGGGGGCGTCCTGCTCAGGCAATTCCTCCCGCGCGCCCCGTCGGGGACCGGGCGGGGACGGGAGAAGGAAAAGGGCCCCTGGCTCCGGGACCAGGGCTCCGGAGGGTGCCGGGCGGGGAGCGGAACAGGGAACGGGCTGGTGGCGGCCCCAAGCGGGAGGGACGGACCGACACGCGGCCCCCTGGCGGCCTTGCGACTCGCCGACCTGCGGAACCTCGTCGCCGCCCTCACAGCCCCGCGGCCACCGCCGACCCGGGCCGGTCCCCGGGGCGTCGCGGGTGTTAAAGGGCGAGTCTACGCGGATGTCACGGTCGCCGCGGGCAAGGACCGCGAGGTTGCGGCCCTGCTCCGAATCCCGGCTGCGCTGGCCACGCTCCTCCACGCGCGGGGCGGCCGCTCCGCCACCCGCACGGCGCCCCGCAGCTGCTCCGGCTGGGGATTCGCGGGGTGCAGCCGCCCGGGCCGCAGGAGGCTGATGTCAGCGTTCCGCCGTGACCGCGCCTGTTCTCCAGATAATTTTAAATCATTCCATTTTCTCCTCTGTTACCCTTTATAATATGTCAGCTCTCTCTAATAATCATATAATTATTGTTTGGTAATGACATGACACTTGAGATTTGCTTCCTCTCTTTTGGGTTGGTTTGTTTGTTTTAGAATTCCACTTTTCACTCTTTTAGTTATGTGTATAAATAAACATTTATTCATTCATGTCCATAATGTGTACATAGATATATATAATTATTTTAATTTGATTGGTGGTTGCCCTACAGATTCAGTATTTATCCTTGACTTAATACTGTCGCTTAAACAAAAGTCCCACTTCTAGTGTAGCTTCGAGAAGCGATCCGGAATCTTCACTCATTGACTCCGTTTGTCATCCTACTTCCCTTTTCACAATTATTTCCATGTTTTACCTCTACATGTTTCCACCCTGCTAGCTATTATTATAATTGTTATTTTTTAAAAGTAGATGTTAATTCAGTGTGTATACGTATACATAGTATATACAAAATTTTGTGCTCCTCTTCATTCCTTCCTACATTTCTGCACCCTCAACTATTAATTAAAAAAATCTTCACTTTGAAAAATTCCCTTTAATATTTCTCATATTGCAGATCTAGTGATGAATTCTCTAGGATTGTGGAACATAGATTTCCATAAACTGCTGGTTAGAAAACCTGGCCAAAAATTACCAAAAAAATGAGACTAAAGGGGAACGTTTTAGGCAATCTAGGAAACTATTGGATAAGAATTTTGAATTAATGGGAATTTGACCACTTATCACATCACCCTGGTGTGGGCAACAATATTTTATCTGTATGTACAGATGTCAAACATATTGGTCACAGCTTCTCTTATGATAACTAAATTAGCTTTTTCTAAGGCTTGATATCTTTAACTCTAATATAAATATTGATTTAGTTAGCTATGTTGTTTGTAAGGTAATTGTAACGTAGTGCATGGCTTGCAGTGACTACACAATAAATATTTGCTGAATGGATGACCATGAAAAGGGTCTTTTACAAATAACAATCACTAAATTGTGGATCTAAAGATAAATATAAGCATATGTCATCACTTGTCAGTTTCCCAAAGGCTGTTTGAAAAGAAAGCATACTTGATGAGCAGAGCAGCCAGCAGTCACCCGCATGCTGAGTAATGGTGAAATACACAGCATCAAACCAGATACTCTGGTGACACTGCAAAAGAGATCTCCAAGTACAACTTCAGACATGCAGGTTTTTATCATTTTACATTATCACAAAAGTCACACTCTTCTGATTCTGATGAAAAATTATATTAATATTGTGAATGTAGATGCCATTATAAATTGCAGATCAAGCCTATGCAGACAAACAGAAATACCCTCATCTTGGTAAAGTCATATCTATGGAGAACACATTTTAGATTTAGAAAACTGGAATTATCAAAGCTACTCTTCATTTGCCCCCGAAGTATGTTAAAAGGCAAGTGAATCATGTCAAGATACCTTTTCTCTCACTAAACTAGGTAAATTTTCAGAATTCAACCCAGGGACCCATGAGCCCATGAGATCTTCGGCCTTCTTGGTTTTTTTTGTTTGTTTGTTTTTTGTTTTTTTATGGATTTTGCTCTTGTTGCCCAGGCTGGAGTGCAATGGCGCCATCTCAGCCCACCACAACCTCCGCCTCCCAGATCAAGTGATTCTCCTGCCTCAGTCTCCCGAGTAGCTGGGACTACAGGCATGCACCACCACGCCCAGCTAATTTTTGTATTTTTAGTAGAGACGGGGTTTCACCATGTTGGTCAGGCTGGCCTCGAACTCCTGACCTCGGGTGGTCCACCCACGTCGGCCTCCCAAACTGCTGGGATTACAGGTGTGAGCCACCGCACCCAGCCAAGATCTGCTTTCTTTATGGTAAACAAATACGCAATGTGACTTCTGAGTATGGAAAGTCATTAAACACAGACACATACTTATTACTGGGTCACAGAACAGTTTATAACTTCGTAGTTTTCCTTTTATTATGACTTTTTTCATTTGGTGCAAAAATAAGTGAGGAGTCAGATTTTTTTTTCCCTAAAACCATTAACAAAATTAAACTTTAAAAGTTGCTATCAGGCTGGGTGTGGTGGCTCATGCCTGTAATCCCAGCACTTTGGGAGGCCGAGGCAGGCGGATCACCTGAGGTCAGCAGTTTGAGACCAGCCTGGCCAACATGCTGAAACTCCATCTCTACTAAAAATGCAAAAATTAGCCAGGTGTGGTGGTGCACACTTGCAGTCTTAGCTACTCAGGAGGCTGAAGCAGGAGAATCACTTGAACCCAGGAGGCGGAGCTTGCAGTGAGCTGAGATCCTCCCACTGCACTCCAGCCTGGTCAACAGAGCGAGACTCCGTCTCAAAAAATAAAAAATAAAAACAAAAAAGTTGCTATTGCTATCACTTGTTTGGGGGAACTTATTGTCTATTGACTGTAGTAGCAAAATGACTCAGAATCAGGCATGAAATGCCCATATTTCATTGCGTCTGAGTCATCATCAACTGTAAGAACATTGCTTTATGTATCACTAAAAAAGAAACATTTATTCAATTGTACTATTACCCAATGTTTCTTTTTAAAAAAAAAACTATATTACAACAGTTTTAGGTTTACAGAACCTAATGCTTTTTAGTCATCAAAATCGTTACACATTTAGTGTATACACAGAGCTTTTGGAGTCTTTACACATGGATTTTAAAATATATATCCCTCTTATGAATGTGTAAAGGAGAAAATACAAGCAAAATAAAAGGCTTAGGTATTTTCAAACCTTTTTGGTATTCAGTGTCCATCTTTTCACAGTCAGTGGTGTCCTTTTGGGTTTTCTAAATACTCAATGTTCTACAGAACCCTGGGAATGCAGCCGCTCTTAAAAGCGTGCCACAGTTTAGTTGCTGGAGTTTTCTTCTTGGATTATATACTAAGTCTGCAAGTTTTACTACTGGGCCTGTCTTGATTTTATCAGATGTCAAAGATAATTTCAGACAACCAGAACATTGACTTCTTTCTGCAATTGTGTCCATAATTTGTTGACTCAGACATTAAGTGGTTGCCATCATCCAGACAGGTCCGCAGTAATAACAACCAAAGACACATATTCTCAGGCAATGATAACCGCACCACGACTCCATGGAGACACCAGTGTTTTAAGATATTGTCAATTCCAGATATGTGTAAAAGTGTGAAAAACATGAGTCATAGAATTAACTCAATGCAGTTATTCTTTTCTCATCACAAACAGCTCTTCCCCATCCCTTACGCAAAAGGGCTGAGAAGATACATAAATAAAACAATGCAACACATAGATAGATAGATAGATAGAGAGAGAGAGAGAGAGAGAGAGAGAGGGAGGGAGAGATAGCTTTGATCTCAGGGAGAGAAGTTGTTTCAATCAACGTTTTCATACATTTGGAAATCATAGAATTTTTATACACTAAAGGAAAACGTGTTGTTCCAAACTTTACCCCATACCACTCCTCCTGTTTAATATCTAGTTAGGGTCAAAGCCAGCACCAGGCACTCAGGGGCAGACAGGGCGGGGAAGGCAAGTCCTCCGAGTTAAGTTATAATTCAATTAACTTGATTTACTGGATGCCTACTATTTAAACGCACTGGCCTAGAATCTGGAGATACTGGGTGTAATAAGATCCTATTTATTTTCTGCAGGTAGGTGGAGGAATTGGTGACCATGAGCATTAGGGAAGACACACCCTCTCTCTGGGCCTTAGCTGCCTCACCTGCAAAATGCAAGGATGTGACCCACTGAATTCTATGGTTCCTACTGAACTAAAAATATTTGTAAAGGCAAACAAACAAGTAACAGAACGTTCCCATTCTAGCCATCCCTAGAAAGCAGATATAGCTTTACTTTAAGTCCCGTATTTTTTTGAGACGGAGTTTTGCTCTGTCGCCCAGGCTGGAGTGCAGTGGCACGATTTCGGCTCACTGCGAGCTCTGCCTCCCGGATTCACGCCATTCTCCTGCCTCAGCCTCCCGAGTAGCTGGGACTGCAGGCGCTCGCCACCACGCCCGGCTAATTTTGTTGTATTTTTAGTAGAGACAGGGTATCACATTCCCATTTTTTAATAAGATCATAAACAAAAGAAAGAAAAGAAATAGGAAAGAAATATTCACATTGTTAAGATATTCTTTAATTGTATTAGGACATCGAACTTTTTTTGTTTATACCAAGTTCTCTTATTGCATGAAGGAGAACAAATAAATCACACAATTGTGTAGTAACTTATCGGAAATAGGGAATCATTTTCTAAGTAAGATGGCATGAGACCCTTTTCTTCCCAACGTATCTGTAGACATTTGAATCCCCTATCCCTAATGCGGATGTTGGAATAGATTGGGAGGGGGCCTTCTTTGGCTCCTGTGGGCTCCTGGGCTCGGCATGCTGGGAGTGTCTTCTAACCGGAGTGTGGATGATACTGCAATCAAAGTCAAGTGTAGAACCAGCTGCAGGTGATGGCAGGTCGGCCAGAAATGGGAGATTCATTAGGGTATCCAAGGGTGTCAGAGGTGTCCTCGGAGACGTAGAGTGAAGAACCACCCAGTAGGACACAAGGGAGACCAAAGTAAGCAAGAGAAGTCAAAGCAGGGGGTGATTCTGGGAAATACCTGGGGCCAGGTAGGTCCAAGCTGGGGGTTGCTGTGGAAGGACAATCAGGTTTAAAGAGCCTGTCAGGTTATCAAGTAGTATGTTTATGGTGACCTCATATCTGAGCTGTTTTAAATGAGAGTCCCAATGTCAAATGCTCTTCTCCAACCTGTCAGATCTTGTGTCCCAAGTTCATTTGCTGGGTATTCTAAGGCACCTCTCCTTGGCCAGGTACTGGGCTAAGAAACTCTGGTATATGGTCAGAACCAAGGTGTAGAATTACTCCTCTCAAATTAATATCTTGTGAGGCTGACCAATGATTATGATAGAATACTGAGGGATGAACTGTAGAAGCTGGAGCATCTGGTGATTAAAGTAGTAATTTTGTCTTTTTCTTAAAATTGTTATGACTACTTTTGTTATTATAACGTGATGTTCTTAGAATATAAAGGATTTTAGCAAACTTTTAGAGGGAAAGTGGAAACTCACTGCGTTGGAGATAGCAGACAATGTATAATGGATTTTTGCTATGCTAACATGAGATTTCCCCTCTGGACAGACTTCCACTGAGACCTCCTGCCAATTTCCTTTATTTGGTCTTCCTTTATTTCATATTCTACTCTCTTATGAGGAAGACCCCTGTTACCAAAAGATTCATATCACAAAGAAGGGGTTGCTGTGATTGGAAAGTGTCTCTAGTACATTACGTCCAATTGTCGAAAGATATTTTGTAGAGACAGAGGTTTGTAGAATGAATGGATGGAGAAGAGAGCGGCAGATCTGGACACAGGTCTGGGGTTAGACGCAATTGTCCATGGCTGCCTTTGTCTCAAGGTACATTTCCAGTCAGAGGATTATCTTATATTTGTTCCTTATAGGGAATTTTCATTAGCTTCCAAATGATAATAGAGATATAAAAAAAAGTTTATTGAAGACATTCTCAGTCAGGTGCAGTGGCTCACACCTGTATGTAATCCCAGTGCTTTGGGAGGCTAAGTCTGGAGAATCACTTGAGGCCAGGAGTTCAAGACCAGCCTGAGCAACATAGCAAGACTCTGTCTCTCCAAAAAATTTTAAAAGCTAGCTAGGTGTGGTGGTGCATACCTGTAGTCCTAGCTACTAGGGAGGCTAAGGGCAGGGGGCGGTGAAAGTTGCTCGAGCCCAGGAGTTTGAGGTTACAGTAGGCTATGATCATGCCATGCACTCCAGCCTGAGTGACAGAGCGAGACCCTGTATCAAAAAAACAGAAAAGAAAGAGGAATTCCCTAAGGTCATGAACACATTCTGAAGAAGGCCAGCTTGGACAACTATTGAAATGGGCAATATCATCGTCAAAAGCAGTCGCACACACACTGCCCTCTGGTGGCCATATAGAAAATGGCATGAATGCTGCAGGGCTCCAAAACTTCGTCTCCAAAAGATCACATTAAAAGTGCGGTGTGTTGTTTTTTTTTTTTTTTAATAAATAAATAAAAATAAAAGGTGTCTTCTCAGGATTTTGATTAGATCGCAAACAAACTGTGTAAGATTCAGTGCTTTGGGGGTGCTTCCTAGTGGAAGTCTTTGTTTTGTCATTGCACGTTATGAAAAAATAAGTCTCTCCCCAGTACACCATTTCAGGGAGTATTAATTGAGCAGTTGAATGAGGCTTCGGATTCTAGGACAGAAAATGGAGACAAGGTTGCAGTCTCACAGCGTTAGCAGGGTGAGGGGTGGGACAGTGTTGAGAATAACTGGTTTACATCAAAGCTATGTACGTCTGGTTTAAAGATAATAGTAAACCAATCAAAGTATATTGATGGAATCCTTCTGATTTTATTTATTTATTTATTTATTTTGAGACGGAGCCTCACTCTGCTGCCCAGACTGGAGTGCAGTGGCACGATCTCAGCTCACCGCAACTTTCGCTGCCTGGGTTCAAGCTGTTCTCCTGCTTCAGCCTCCCGAGTAGCTGGGATTATAGGCGTGAGCCACCATGCCCGGCTGATTTTATAAACAATAAAACATTTCAGAGAAATGAAAACTATCACTCAAAAGAGTTGTATACTTTCATCTAATTTAGATATAGAGATTTTTTTCAAAAACAGTGGGAGATCCTGTATTCCCAGTTACTTTTGCACTTAGTATGAGCACTTATTCGTGCCATTTAATGTTTTTGAAAATCTGACTTTAATTGCCGTCTAGCGTTCCTTACCATAACTTGTACATAAATTACATGCTTCTGGGCTAGGCACGGTGGCTCACGCCTGTAATCTCAGCACTTTGGAAGGCCAAGGCGGGCGGATCACCTGAGGTAGGTTCGAGACCAGCCTGACCAACATGAAGAAACCCCCTCTCTACTAAAAATACAAAATTAGCCAGGCGTGGTGGCCCGTGCCTGTAATCCCAGCTACTCGGGAGGCTGAGGCAGGAGAATCACTTGAACCCGGGAGGCGGAGGTTGCGGTGAGCCGAGATAGCGCCATTGCACTCCAGCCTGGGCAAGAAGAGCAAAACTCCATCTCAAAAAAGAAAAAAAAAAATTACATGCTTCTGTAGCTCCCCCTGCTGTCTCCCTCTACCAGCCAAATCTAGTTTCTCTACAAAAATGGAGCTCAGTTGCTGTCATCTTCAGGCAGCTTCCTATGCTGGAATAATTCACTAGCCTTCTAGCACTTTCACTTTATCCTTCTTAGGATAGCAAGCACTTCATACCACGTCTGATCTCCTTCTGCAGACTGGGAGCTTCTCTCAGGCTATGGTGCAGCTCTCTGTCCAGCTGTTAGCTCAGGGCCTAGCATACAGTAGACACTCAACAAACATTTGAGAATCACGTTTGGTCAGGCATGGTGGCTCGTGCTTGTAATCCCAGAACTCTGGGAGGTCGAGTTGGTGGAGGGATTGCTTGAGCCCAGGAGCTGGGGGCCATCCTGGGCAACATGGTGAAATCCTATCTCTACAAAAAGTTAAGAAATTATCTGGGTGTGGTAGCACGTGCCTGTGGTCCCAGCTACTCAGGAGGCTAAGGTGGGAAGATCATTTAATCCTGGAAGGTCCAGGCTGCAGTTAGCCATGATTACATCACTATACTTCGGCCTGGGTAATAGAGCAAGACCCTGTCTTAAAACAAAATAAAATGAGAAACACAATTAATCCAAATGAGTTACTCACAGTTGCAGAGAACTCTAGCTGTCCAGCAAAATCCATTCTCCCCTTCTCTGCACACACAGCTGTACCACATTTCCCAGACTCCCTTGTGTTATGTGTAGTCACGTGACCAGTTCTTGCCAAGGGAAGGGGAGTGGGACTTATGGGAGCCACTGCCAGTCCAGGCCCATAAAATCCCCCCACGGGTATTTCTCCATGCTTCTTCTCTTTCTTCTGCTGAATGCAGATGGGGTTGAAGTCCCAGGGATGGTGAAGGCACCAGGTGGAAGAATTCAGGGTTCCTCAGTGACCACAGGGAGAACTGCCTCCCCAAACTGAGTGCACAACCAGCAAAGCCAGGGGGCAGTGAAATACAGTGTTACACCCCTGGAATATGAACGGTTATTTGGCTATTACCGTAATCTCACTAATAAACCTGCTTAAAAATTTCATTGTGGGATTAACTTACATAGTTATTATCTCTGTGTCACATTTAAAATGACAAAAGTCCATTTGGCCTTGCAAGTGCTGCCTTCCATTTGACTCTGCTATTCTGACCCTGCCACTACCTTAGAGAGATTCGATCCCTCAAAATATTTTTATTCTGTGCTCAGTAACCTTTGAAATCAAAATTATTGTCAACACAGGCCGGGTGTGGTGGCTTATGCCTGTAATCCCAGCACTTGGGGAGGCTAAGGTGGGCAGATCACTTGAGGCCAGGAGTTCAAGACCAGCCTGACCAACATGGTGAAATCCTGTCTCTGCTAAAAATACAAAATTAGCCGGGCGTGGTGGCGCATGCCTGTAATCCCAGCTACTCGGGAGGCTGAGGCAGGAGAATTGCTTAAACCCGGGAGGTGGAGGTTGCAGTGAGCCAAGATCGTGCCGTTGCACTCCATCCTGGGCAACAAGAGCAAAACTCCATCTCAAAAAAAAAAAAAAAAAAAAAGAATTATTATCAACAGTTTAAAATTTTGTTGACAGCAAACTTCAGTAAGATATTTTAACTCACTGATTTTTTAACATACAGAAAGTAAACCAAAGTCGTTTACTCACTTTTATTTTTAATTTACTAAAATTTGATTTTTTATACTTTAGAAAACTGAAATTGTTATCAGGATCAATTAAGTTTTATGTAAGTCATTTGTCCACATAATTTACTGACTATATATTCTCTCTTTTTAAGTTTTTTTGGAATCATTCTTTCTACCTTTTCATGTGCCCGGGGTCAAATAATACATGTCAAAATGTTTTTTAAGTATTTTTTTCTTTCATCAGTTCTTTGTCAGTGATAAATTTTACCATGTGGAGTTTTCAACCATTATTAGTTGTATTTTGTGTGGACTGTTTTTGCTGTAATACTCACAATAGAGGTCAAGGTGTTCCGGGGGCCATGGTGAGGTCAAAGCATTCCACTTCGTTCATTTACAGAGCTTCAATTGTGACCCGGTTTAGGAACATGCTGCTTGCCCAAAATTCTCCACAATCCTCCACCTCCGCTCTTCCATTTAGGATATAAAAGAGGGTTTTCTCAGACCTTCTGCCAATGCGCAGACAGATGAAAGACGACACAGAGGTTCTCATCATTCTGCTGAGGAACTGAAAGCGGGTTTCCCACTCCAATGTCTTAGTTTGGAATCACGGCTTTTGTCCCCTCTCCGAGAATGAATAATCACCAAGAAAAGAGAGGCCGTGGTAGGTGAAGGAATGCCCAATTCAGCCGAAAAGAAGTCAATCCCTCCTGCCTCCTTCAGCTTGGAGTTTAGGGTAGGGAGAGAGCTTTGTTCGTGTACACGCGGTTTTCATTCTTGTCTCTTTCTTCGAAACAGAGACTCAGTTTTATTAGGAAAACAATTTGCCAAACAAACTAAAAGGCTATTATTCCTAACTTCTCCTGCAGCTAAGAGGGACCAGACAAAGTTCAAGCTGATGAGCTGTGAGCAGAAGGACTGAGAGGGTCTTTGGGGAGGGTGCTTAGGTGGAACTGACACAGCTGTGCGGCCCCTTTGTCCTTCTTTCCTCCTCCTTTCCCTCTGAAAAGCAGTCACCGTGGGCCCTGAGACAGCCTTCAGGATGGAAACCAGCTATGAAGATGCTGGGGCAGAAAGATTCATGCTGGCTGACTGCCTTGGGGGGCCATCCAGGAGCAGCAGGGAGCCCACCTCCAGAGCTCCTTTATTGGAGAAAGAAATAACTCTTTCTCTCTCTTCTCTGTGGTGCTGTTATTCTGGGTTTTCTGCTATGTGTAGGCAAAACTAATCCTAACCAAGATACCAGCTTTTCATTGAATCTGTGTGTGAACTTGAACCAGACGATTTTTTCTCTGGAACTTATTTCCTCTACACAAGAGGCAGGGGTGTGGGTGCTTTGTGTAATTCTGAAGATCCGGAGCTTTTTCCTGGCCCACATCCATGTTCACTTCTAATTGTTATAGTGCCTACATTACCATTTAGGGAACTAGCCACTCCCTGCAATTCCATATGGTTAAGTGAGGCTAATACCACTTTCTGGCTGCAGGGGACAGGACAGGTGGGAACAGATGTTGGAGGAACCATTGGTGCCTTGAGCATGTTCTGTGCAGGGGGTCTCCCGTGTTTGCCCTGTCTGCATCCCACGTGGGCCCCGTGTGTGTGAGCATTGACAGTAGGCACAGCTGCTCGGGAAAGGGTCCACCTGTGTCTTCCCCAGGAAGACAGTCCCAACTGGACCTTGATTCACCATCCTGCCTGACCATCCCCTGTGGAACTGTTAGCTCTCAGCATCCACACATACACACACACGCACACGCACACGCACGCTGACATCACAGATGGAGACCATGGGGGTGGGGTAAGAGAAGTGTCGGTGGGAAGAGGAGACCTATAGGCTGCACACAGGAATTTAGGCATGAGCCAAGTTAGAGGTTTTCCCAGGGATGTCCCTTGGAGGGCAGGGTGGAAGGAGAGACTGGTCCTGTATGTGTTCTGCTCACCTGCCTCCCCCTGCACCATCTCCTCCATGCTGGGCACCTGGATGGATCATTACGCCAGTGATTTCTATCAGCCCCCACAGTTGCCCCCTCTCGAGGTGCTGGGGCCTATCTGCAGCTCAACATGCCTGCCCGGACCTGCAGCACCGTGTCCACCTACTCCTGGCCCAGCTGGAGCACCCAGAGTCCACTGAGGCAGGGTCTGAGGGTGAGGAGGCCTGGAGGTAGGTGCAGGTGAGCGTGTAGGGAGGGGATAGGGCTGGACCACACAGAGCAGAGCTGCCAGAAGCTGGGGAGGGGACACAGCATTGATAAACTCAACCCAATTATGTGGTAGACTGCAGTCTAGGAAGACGTCCTGGGAGTGGGACATTGACTGGGCATCTCTGAAAGGCAGAGGGAAGGTTTTGTCATTGGAAGGCACGTGGAATGTCAGTCATGTTGATGTTTACTCTGAAGTGGGGAGGGGAGCAGCCCGACCCCTGAGACCTGGCTGGACATCACTGTTGAGGTTGCAGCCAGATTTCTCAGCACGATGCTCTCCACACCTTCTGTACATCCTGGGGTTCCCTTACCTGCATCCCCTCCCTGAGTCCCCTCCCTGATTAGAAGACTGCAAATGACCCTGTGGGCTACTGTCTGCACACCCCCCTACCCAATGACCCTCCATAGATGTACAGAATTTCACTAACCCTGCCTCCCTACAGGCCCTGTGGAAGGCCTGGGTGCAGCCAGGGTCCCACCTTGGAATAGACAGATGTAGGTTCAGACCCAGCTCCTCCTTCTTACCACTTATGTGACTCTGGGCAAAGCCACTGTGCCTCTCAGGGTCTCCCTGAGCCTCCTCTCCTGCACAATGGAGATCATCCTGGCATCGACTCCCTAGGGATGTCATCAGGCATGTGTGAGATAACACTTAGGAAACCTGTGGGCTGGTATCACATGTAGGTAATGGACAAATTAGACATGAAATGCATGAAGGGATGGTAGGAATTATCATGGAACACAACTAAAAAGAGGCCTGGTTTCCTGCCATGTGATCTTTGAAATGTCCCATTCCTCCTGGCCTCATTTCCCTGTGTGTACTATTAGAGGGCTGAAATTTAGTAAATTCTGATATTGTCATCCTCATCAGCGCTTGTGACGGTTAAATGTTTGTTTACATTCAGACCCGAGTGCCACGTCTCAGCCTATGTGGTAGGAGCCACCTCAATGGCTCCAAGAGGTTCCCCCACCTCCTGGTGTACACATCCTTGTGTCATGTCCTCCCCTGGAGTATGGACTGACTTAGTGACTCACTTCTAACCAATAGAATATAGCAGAAGGGATGAGATGTCACTTCCAAGATTCAGTTATAAAATGTCCATGACTAGTATCTTGCTCTTTCTCTCCTCTGTTCTCCTTTTCTTTCTCTGTGTTGTCCTCTCTCTGTCTCTCCCTCTCTCAGATCCCTGACTCTGGGGAATCAGCTGCTGTGTTATGAGCTGCCCTATGGAGAGGCTCATGTGTCCTAGGATATAGAGAGGGAAATGGACAGAGGGGAGCTCAGGCCATCAGTCCTAACTGAATCCTTCCAGTAACTATATGAGTGGGCTTAGCATTGGATCCAGCCCCACTCGAGCCTCAGTTGAGACCACAGCCCCAGCCTCCTGAGAGATACCATGGCAGAAGCACCCAGATAAGTCCTGCTGGATTCCTGGGCCCCAGAAACAGGAAGATCTACGTGTTTGTTGCAAGCCTCTAAGATTGGGATAATGCTTTCATACAGCTGTAGATTACTAATGCAGGGCCATCCAGAATCCACCCCTGCCTTTAGCCTCCCTCCCCTCCTCTACTTGCAAGCTCTCTCCAGCCACGCTGGCCCTCTTTCTACCTCCTCTCTGGCCAAACTCACTTTTTCCTGGACTTTTTGGCCATTGATCCTTCCCCTGGCACACTGGTCTCGGACTTTCACAGGGCCGGTCCCAATTATCCTTCTCAGTATAAATTTCACCTCAGTGAGGCCTTTTCAGACCTACCTCCCACTCTTGAAGTGATCTTCATCTCCCCTTCGTAGCACTGTGCTTTATTTCAATATTATGCTCGCACTTTTCCTCTATTTTAATGATTCCGTCCCTCCTCCTCCCCTCCAGACTGTGAGCTCCTGGAGGACAAGGGCCATGTCATTCATTCACTGAGAGACCCAGACCATACTTAGCCCTGGAACAAGATAAGTGCTTGGGACCTAGTTACTGAATGAGTAAATGAGAGGATCTCAAGCCCCTTGTCCCAACTTTCCTCCATCTGACCAGCTCACACTGTGGAGATGAATGCTCACAACAGGAAGTGAGGTCTGGTTGGTGGCAAGAAAATGGCCAGAATGACCCCTGGGTGGCTCCTCCCTGGCTCCAGTTGCTCCAGCAGAGCACTGTGGGCACAGCCTCCCTGGTGGCCAGTGCTAGCCCTGCACCTAAGGGAGAAAAACCATGAGCAGAACACCTTTGTTGAATGACTTCAAGGCATCAGCTCTCTCAGGTCCTAGCAGGGCAAAGGAGCAACACCCATGAGATCCGGAGTCATTGATGGGAGCCTTAGGACATTTTCTTGTTCCTTTACTGCCAGCACTGGTACTGGGGTCCAGTTCACTCATGAGGCCACATCACTACAGTCAGGTCAATGACTCTGCCTCAGCTTCCAAATGAAGCTCTCGAGGCTCGAACAGGTGGTCTTTGTCTTTGTTCAAGGATGACACACGGTCCTCCACCACATTCTTCTGTCCCCCAAGTCTCAGTCCTCCAAGCTCACACACCTGTCTCTCCTGCCAGCCCTTTAGACCTGATTATATTCCCACAGCATCTCCCAGCCCGGACCTACCTGGTCCTAGGTATTTTCCAGAATCAGCCTCCTGCTTTGCCTTCTCTGTTTACTTAGTCTCCATGATTGTCCTAATATGTGTTACTTCACTCTAAGTCTCAGGGGACACCTCTGATATTGAGCTTTTTTTTGGTGGGGGGGACGGAGTCTTGCACTGTCGCCCAGGCTGGAGTACAGTGGTGTGATCTCAGCTCACTGCAACCTCCGACTCCCAGGTTCCAGTAACTCTCCTGCCTCAGCCTCCCGAGTAGTTGGGATTACAGGCATGTGCCACCATGTCCGGTTAATTTTTGTATTATTAGTAGAGACGGGGTTTCACCATATTGGCCAGGCTGGTCTTGAACTCCTGACCTCAGGTGATCCACTGCCTCGGCCTCCCAAAGTGCTGGGATTACAGGTGTGAGCCACCGCACCCAGCCTGATAATGCTTTTGGTAACCCATTGGCCCTCCCTTTTCTGGCCAATCTGCCATCATCTGCTCTTGGTTCTGTGCACAGCCTTGACTGCAGTCACCTGCAACTCCGGGTAACAAACCTTCCCAGCATGCTAACTCTGGGGGACCCACACTAACCAAGGTAGCCCCTGTACACCCCATCATCCCCACATGGGACAGGGTTTTAGATATCTAAAAATGTATAGGGAAGAAAAGGGGTCTCACCCTATCTTAGCTAGAAAATGATTATGAATTCCTGACAAATTGGTTTTAAAACGTGGTTTCACTTTTCCTAAGGTGGCACTCAGCAAGGAGAAGGCCATGTTTAGTCGAGCACCAGGATCATGAAGCCCAAGAGCGAGAAGCCAGACAAGTTCAAGTCCGGTATCTCCCAGGCTCTTCTGGAGCTGGAGATTAACTCACACCTCAAGGTTCAGTTCAGGGAGCTGAATATTACAGCAGCCAAGGAAACTGAAGATGGTGGTGGTGGGAAAGCTATCATAATTTTTGTTCCCTTTCCTCAACTGAAATCTTTCCAGAAAATCCAAGTCTGGCTAGTACGTGAATTGGAGAAAAAGTTTGGGGGAAGCATGTTGTCTTTATTGCTCAGAGGAGAATTCTGCCTAAGCCAACCCGAAAAAGCTGTACAAAAAATAAGCAAAAGCATCCCAGGAGCCGTACCCTGAAAGCCATGCATGACTCAATCCCCGAGGACTTGGTCTTCCCAAGTGAAATTGTGGGCAAGAGAATCCACGTGAAACTGGATGGCAGCCGTCTCATAAAGGCTCATTTGGACAAAGCGCAGCAAAACAATGTGGAACGCAACGTTGAAACTTTTTCTGGTGTCTACATGAAGCTCACAGGCAAGGATATAAATGTTGAATTCCCAGAGTTTCAACTCTAAACAAAAATGACTAAATAAAGTGTATTCACAGTAAAAAAAAAAAAAAAAATGTGGCTTATCCTGCTTGGTGGAATAAGAAAAGTTGGCAGCAAAAAATATAATCTGCAAAATTCTGATACAAACAACAAAGAATCATTTCAACAATATGACCATATAGATGCTTCTCTTTTATGTGTGTGACTATCACTTAAAATATGGAATTTAAGGTAAAGCTAACTCTGCTTTTTAGGGATGGCTGGAATAAGGACATTCTGTTGTTTACTTTTTTTTTCTTTTTTTTTGAGACGGAGTCTCGCTCTTGTTGCCCAGGCTGGGGTGCAGTGGCACAACCTTGGCTCACGTGATTCTCCTGCTTCAGGCTCTGGAATAGCTGGGATTACAGGCATGCACTACCATGCCCAGCTAATTTTTGTATTTTTAATAGAGACGGGGTTTCACCATGTTGACCAGGCTTGCCTCAAACCCCTGACCTCAGGTGATCTGCCTGCTTCAGCCTCCCAAAGTTCTGAGATTACAAGCGTGAGCCACCATGCCCAGCCTTGTTTGCTTTTCAAAATGCTTTCTAACCTGAAAGGAACCTTAGAAAGCAAGTGGTCAAATCCTCACCTTTCACAGGTGAGGCAGCTAAGGCCCAAAGAAAGGTTGTGTCTTGCCTAATGTCACCAATCCCTTCACCTATCTTGCAAAATGGACATTATCTTATTCTTCTTGCTATCTTCAGATTCCAAGCTGGTGCTTTTTATATACAGTAGTAGGTGCTCAATTAATCTAATTTAGAAGAACTGAACTTTATTTAACACTGTTAACAATGTCTTGAGATTTTCTTACTACTCGTTGTAGGTTCACCTTTGTTTCTGGTGACCCATGGCAAAATAATATTTATTGAGCACAGTAATTTGAAATAAACAAGGCTCCTTTCCTGACACTAAGCAGGGAGGAATTATGCTGACAATTCTGATTAGCTTTCTGTATCCTCTCTGAGAAACAGCACTCTAAAACCATCTTAGCTGGGCTCAGAACAGCCCAGACTGTAATATTATTTACCAGTTAATTGGAGGCAGGAAGCCAGCTCTGCTGCCCAACACACACACCAGCAGAGACTTCAGAAGACCTTTATCCATCGCCAGAATGGCTGAACCCAGGCGCTTTCTACGGCTCTCTTTCCTCTTGGTCAGCTCCAAGTATGAGATTTATGAACGTTGAAGAGGTTCCCAGTGCTGTTAAAAGGTAGGTCTTCCAGAATATTAGTTTCCGTGGAACTAAAGCTTAATGACAGGACTTCATTTACAAAACAATAATTATATGGAGCAAAAAAACCACACTGATATGGCTGTAACTTAATGGTGTTGTTTTTGTTAAACACTTAATTTTAAAGTAAGATGGTCTCAAACAAATATGTTTTTCTGAAAAATGAGCATGTTGGTGAATTTGACCTTTTCTCTGATGATGCTCTAAAGATCTGATCTTCTGGAAGAACAGAAATAAAAGATATCAACAAATCACCAAAAGGATTGTATGATAATTGTGAAAATTGCTATTATCCAATTTTGCTAGAGTCTCTTTAAAAATGGAGTTAATAGTGGCCTTTCACAGTTTCTAATTCTTGGGTTTAAAACTGAGAAGACTGTGTTCTTTTTTTAGCTGTGTGCCCTGTGAAAATACTGTTTATTGCATGACATGTGAAAAAACAGCTGTATTCAGAAAATTAGGATCATATCTCAAAAGGCAAACAAATTAGTACCTTTCTTAACCAAAGTTATCTGCATCACCAAATGCAGAAAATAATTTGAGTCTTGGCTCTCCGTAAAATAGTAGAAAACTAGAACCATTCTAGACCATAGATGCCTTCATCTATTAGGGCTTAATTCTATCCTAGAGCCCCAGGTCGGGCTGATAGAAGTTTTTTTGTTTGTTTGTTTGTTTGTTTCTTTTGTCTCATAAAGTTAAGAATAAAATTGGCTTGCAATTTACGATTAAACTTTTGTGATTATATTTCATGGGTGGGGGTACATCTGTAAGTTTTCTTGGTAGCAGTTTTAGGATTTTTCTCTAAGGGGCACGTGATACACAAGAGCTTGTGGTGGGTAGCTCACGCTGCCTTCAGATTGACTTTGCGTCTTGTCAAGCCTTGCAGGCACTAATTCACCTAACACTAAGTTTCTATTCCTCAATCAAAAATATAAGCATCAGGCCAGACATAATGGCTCATGCCTGAACTCCCTGCACTTTGGGAGGCTGAGTGCTTGAGCCTAGGAGTTCAAGATCAGCCTGCGCAACATAGCAAGACCCTCTTCTCTTATTATATTATAAATATAAAAATATTTTTTCAAATAACTCTGACTCCTGAAGCAATTTAATGGATTTAATTTTACAGAAGGTAGATTTTTAACTTCTTTATTCTAATAAAAGACAAAAAAAAGCATTTGGAGGCTTAATGCAAATTATTTTTTGCTACTAAAGTGAAAGCAGACCTAGTACATCTAGGTGTATAATTTCACCAACTAACAACTAAATATTATCTCCAAAATAGATATTTTTTAAAAAATCAGAATGCCAGATCCCCCATTTTAACAACTTTATTGAAATATAATTTACATTCTATGTAATTCCCAGTTTAAATTGTGCTATTCATTGGCTTTAGTGCATTCACAGTTATGCAACCAACACCACAATCAGTTCTGAAACATTTTTATCAACCCCAAAAGAATCCTCATACCTATTATCAGTTACTTCCCAACCTCTTACTCCTGGCCCTAGGCAAACAATAATTTATTTTCTGACTCTCTAGATTTACCTTCTCTGGAGATATTCCATAATGGAATTATACAGTGTATAGTCTTTGTGATTGATTTATTTCACTTGGCATAATGTTTTCAAGGTTTGTCAATATTATAACATGGATCAGCACTTCCTTTTTGTTTCTGAGTAGTATTCCATTGTATGAATATTGGCACATTCTATTTATTCACACATGTGTTGATGGACATTTCCATTATTTTCACTTTTTGGTGATTATAAATAATGCTACTTTGAACATTTATGTCTAAGTTTTGATATGAACATCTGTTTTTATTTTTCTTGTGTATGTCTAAGGGTGGAATTGCCCTTAGATATAGGGCAATTAACAATTAACACCCTTGTGTTATAATTGCCCTATATCCATGGCAGTTAAATTGTCGTATATCCCAGGGCAATTAAATTCTATACACCTAGAAGTACTAGGTCTGATTTTGCATTAGTACCAAAAAAATTTTCATTAAGCCTCCAAATGTTATTTTTCTTTCATTGGAATAAATTTTTCAGTTTGATTGCCCTTAGATGTAGGGCAATTATAATACAGAGGTGTTATATGGTAATAGTATGCTTAACATTTTAAAGAATGGTCAAATTGTGTTCCAAAACAGTAGAGCCCTGTCAATGTAAAAGTTGAATTTTCGACAAGAGACTTCCTTTGTGACAGAGCTCCCAGGAGAGCCATTCCACACCTACTTTAGCCCATCCAGATACATCTCATAAGGATTCAAAAATTTGCATCATTACATTTCTGAAATTACATTCTTATGCAAAAAAGATAACACTTTCTCTCTTCTCTCATGTACCTATAAATTTCATCATATAAAATTAAATGCAAAGTTAAAACTTAAATATGTCTACTTTTAAATCATGGCAATTAAAAAGTAATTCCTTGTGCTTTCAAATTTTTTAATTAAGTCGAAAGGTCATCCATTGGTGCACATTTTTAAAAATTTTTTATGGTCTTTTTTAATTTCTTGTGTCTTTAGTGTCATATTTAAAAATCACTACCAAATCCAATGTTCTGAATCATTTGCTTATGTTTTTGTCTAAGAGTTTTCTAGTTTCATGTCTTACATTTAGGTCTTTGTTACATTTTGAGGTAATTTTTGAATATGGTGTTAGGTAAGGGTTCAGCTTCATTCTTTTGCATATGGATGTATAATTTTCCCACCACCATTTGTTGAAAAGACTGTCCTTTCTCCATAGAATGGTCTTGGCACCCTTGTCATAAATGATTTTACCATGTATGTGAGGATTTATTTCTGATCTCTCTAGTTTATTCTATTGGTCTCTATGTCTGTCTTTAAGACAGTACAACACTGTTTTGATTACTGTGGCTTTGCAGTAAGTTTTGGAATAAGAAAGTGTCAGTCTTCCAGCTTTGTTATTTTTCAAGATTGTTTTTGCTATTCCAGGTCTCTTGAGATTGCATATAAATTTTAAAATGAGGGTTTTTTTATTTCTGCAAACAATGTCATTGGAACTTTTATAGGGAATACATTGATCTATAGATCACCTTGTGTGGTATTAACATGTTAACAATATTAAGTCCTCCAATCTGTGAACATGGGATGTGGTTCCATTTATTCATGTCTTCATTAATTTCTTTCAGCAGTATTTTATAGTTTTCATTATACTAGTCTGTCATCTTCTTGGTTAAATTAATTCCTAAGTATTTTATTATGTTTGATGCTATTATAAGTGGAATTGTTTTCATAATTTCCTTTTTTAATTGTTCATTATTAGTGTATAAAATGCAGCTGATTTTTTTATTTGTCACTTTGTATCCTATTTGCTGAATTCATTTATTAGTTCTAACAACTGTGTGAAATCTTTAGGAATATAATATCTGGTCATCTGCAGAGATAATTTTACTTCTTCCTTTCTTATTTGAATGCCCCTTTTTTTTCTTGCCTAGGTTCTCTGAATATATCTTCTAGTACTATGTTCATTAGAATTGGTGAAAGTGGACATCCTTGTCTTGTTCCCAATCCTAGAGAAAAACTTTTAGTCTTTCACCATTGAATATGATGTTTGCTGGGGTTTTTTTCATATGTGGCTTTTGTTATTTTGAGGTAATTTCCTTCTATTCGTAGTTTGTTAAGTGTTATTACCATGAATCGGTTTTGAATTTTGTTAAATGCCTTTTCTGCATCCATTGAGATGATTATATGTTTTTTCCTTCATTCTGTTAATGTAATGTATTACATTGATTGATATTCATATGTTGAACCATCCTTGCCTTCCAAGAATTCATTCTACTTGGCCATAGTGTATAATCTTTTTAGTATGCTGCTGAATTTGGTTTGTTAGTAATTTTTTTAGTATTTTTGCATCAATGTGCATAAGAGCTACTGGTCTGTAGTTTTGTTTTCTCATAGTGTCTTTGGTTTTGGTATCAGGACTCTGATGAGTTAGGAGGTGTTCCCTTCTCTTCAAGTTTTTAGAAAAGTTTGGTAAAAATTGTTGGTAGTTCTTTAAATATTTGATAGAATTTACCAGTGAAACTATCAGGTCCATGGCTTTTCTTAATTGGAAAATTTTTGATTATTGATTTATTCCACTTACAAGTTATAGGTATATTCAGATTTTCTATTCCTTCATGATTTAGCCTTTAAAATGAAAATTCTGATATATGCTACAACATGGATGAAACTTGAGGACTTTATAAATGAAATAAGCCAGTTACAAAAGACAAATACTATGTGATTGCACTAATATGATGTACTCAGCATAGTCAAAATCATAGAGGCAGAAAGTAGAATGGTTGTTGCCAAGTGCCAAGGTTAAGGGAGTAATAGGAAGTTATTATTTAATGAGTGTAGGATTTCAGTTTTACAAGATAAAAAGGGTTCAGGAGATGGATGGTGGCGATAGTGACACATTATGAATGTATTTAATACCACTGAACTGTACACTTGAAAATGATTAAGATGGTAAACTTTACATTATGTGTGTTTTACCACAAATTTTTTAAATTGGAAAATAAATTAAAAGGACATTTTAATTCTCAGACAAGTCCAAAATGCTGCTAACTCTCTATCCTGCCAATATTTTTGAGGGCAATTTGAAGTGATTGGTCTCCTCACACTGTCCAAAGCTGTATGATTAACAGAGCTGGTGTTCACCATTTTTTTTTCTTTTTTGAGATGGAGTTGCACTCTTTTGCCCAGGCCGGAGTGCAATGGTGCTATCTTGGCTCACTGCAAGCTCCGCCTCCCGGGTTCACGCCATTCTTCTGCCTCAGCTTCCCAAGTAGCTGGGACTACAGGCGCCCGCCACCGCACCTGGCTAATTTTTTGTGTTTTTAGTAGAGACGGTGTTTCACTGTGTTAGCCAGGATGGTCTCGATCTCCTGACCTCGTGATCTGCCCACCTCAGCCTCCCAAAGTGCTGGGATTACAGGCATGAGCCACTGCACATGGCCTGTTCACCATTTTTTTCTCTGCCTTCTTACTCTTAATTTCTTAAATATTTCCACAGCTACTTTGATTCTCTCAACATATATATGAGGTTAAGATTTAGAATTTGAACTTCTTAGAAAGAATTTTAACAAAATTATTTGCTACTTAGGAATTAAGTATGTAAAATATATATGTTCATGTGTACTTTATTTGGCAATTTTAAAATATTGTGGTGGACTGGATAAAGAAAATGTGGTACATATACACCATGGAATACTATACAGCCATAAAAAGGAACAAAATTATGTCTTTGCAGCAACACAGATGGAGCTAGAGGCCTTTATTCTAAGTGAATTAATGCAGGAACAGAAAGCCAAATACTGCATGTTCTCATTTATAAGTGAGAGCTAAATATTAAGTACACATGGACACAAAAAAGGGAACAATAGACCCAGGCCTACCTTGAGGGTGGAGGGAAAATGAGGTTTGAAAAACTACCTGTCAGGTACTATTCCCACTAACTGGGTGACAAAATAATCTGTATACCAAACCCCCACAATACACAGTTTACCCACATAACAAATCTGCACATACACACCCTGAAAGTAAAATAAAAGTTGGAAAAAAATTATGATAGAATGAATGTAATGTAAAATTTACCATTTCAACCATTTTTAAGTGTATGGGTCAGCGACATTCAGTGCAATCACACTGTTATGCAAATAGCACCACAATCTTTTTCAGAACTTTTTATCATCCCAAAGTGAAATTCTGTGCCCACTAACAATTAACTCCCCTTTCCCCCACTATATCCAGCTCTTGGTAAACTCCAGGCCACATTCTATCTATGAATTTTCTTATTCTAGGAACTTCATATAAGTGGAATCATGCAATATTTGCACTTTTGTGTCTGGCTTATTTCATTTAGCATAATGTTTTCAAGGTTATCCATGTGGTAGCATGCACCAGAGCCTCCTTCTTGTTTAACGATTAACAATATCCCATCACATGTGATGATGTGTACTTCCACAGTGAATAATTTAGATAGTCTTCTCTACGAACACTTAACTGAAGGGCAAGGCAAGTTATTCATAAAAGAGAGTAGAAATAGCAACATGAAATTCTCCCTAATTTAACCAACCTTCTAAGTAAAACACAAAAAAGATGAAGAGAAATCAGCGCTTATTTGCTTCTCAAATATCAATCATATGGAAAATATTCCACCAGGTGGTGCAATAAAAATATTGGAAAGAAATTCCTCAACTATCTGTTGGGAAATGCTGGAATAATCAACATGACTTCTATCTTATATTTATATATATATTTATATTCCTGGGCAGAAATGAAAACTTTATTTACTCAGGTTTGTCCCTTTTATTTAACTCTGCTTATTTTGATCAACTATTTAATGGTAATAAAAAGCTCTGCATTTAGCTTATTTTCCACTTTGTTTCATTGAACTAATAGAATATGTAGTTTCCTTTTGGTGTTAAGTGGTTTATGCTCGGCAGTATGTGGCTCGCTATGTAAGTCAAAGACTAAGGACATGTTGATTTGAAAAGAAACATCTGCTCACCTTAGTTTTAAAAAGATAGAAAGGAGATTAACTTCACTTGAGGCAGATGGAGTGCTGTCCCCTGAGGAAGCTTGACAGCCTCGGTGCACAGGGTGGGTGATGGTTTCACCTGAGATACATAAATAAACTCTCCTCCAATACTCTTTTTCACTTGTGATAGTTTATTTCAATTAAAGGAAGGCTTTCCCCTGCTCTGTAATGAGTGACTCTTGGCATGAAGCATGTGAGATTTCTCCATTCATTAATTTGGTTTTCAATCTCAGATTTTCAACTGAAAAAAAAAAAATACATAAAAAGAAAATGACCCAGCTGGGCACGGTGGCTCATGCCTGTAATGCCAGCACTTTTAGGAGGTCGAGAAGGGTGGATCACATGAAGCCAGGAGTTCGAGACCAGCCTGGCCAACATGGTGAAACCCCATCTCTACTAAAAATACAAAAATTAGCCAGGCCTGGTGGCGCACGCTTGTAATCCCAGCCACTCGGGAGGCTGAGGCCAGAGAATTGCTTGAACCTGGGAGGCAGAAGTTGCAGTGATCCAGGATTGACCACTACACTCCAACCTGGGTGACAGAGTGAGACTCAGTCTCAAGAACAATGCAGTCTCAAAAAAAAAAAAAAAAAAAGAAAGAAAGAAAGAAAGAAAATGGCCCTTCCCTGTTTGAATCCAGGGTTTTATACAGCTCTTCAGATGGTCAGTCTAAGTGTCCCACAGCCTGATTTTCTTATGTTTAATGCATCCATAGAAATTTTGTTCCCTGAAGCACTTCTCAGTTCTGAAATGCAAAATGCTGGGGAGGAGAAATTAATTGAAAGTCATGCTGTGGAGGACAAGGTCTTCTTTAAGGTGAAGAATCAAGTTGATCCAGCACTGTCCCCAGAGACTGAGTCGTCATAGATCTCCACTTCAAATACTGCCCTCCTCCCTGCCCACATTATCCCGATTATTACTCACTAATCCGTGAGAATGTCTGGGCAACTTAGGGAGTACCTCCACTACCAACCTTCATATACCTTATTTTGTTTATTCTTTAGCTAATAAGAAAACAGAAGGGAGGAATCATCTCATTTTCTTCACTCAACAGCATTATAGTTAGACTGCAACTAGATACAAATTCTGCTTTCACCACTTACTGTGCAATTTCATGTATGCTACATACCTCTCTTGTCTCAGGTTCCATATAAAACAGAGACAATAATGGCTTTGCAAAAGCAATTGCAACAGAAGCAAAAATTGAAGAATGGGATCTAATTAAACTAAAGAGCCTCTGCATAGCAAAAGAAACTATCAAAAGAGTGAACATACAACCTACAGAATGGGAGAAAATTTTTGCAATCTACCCATCTGACAAAGGTCTAATATCCAGCATCTATAAGGAACTTAAACAAATTTATAAGGAAAAATAACAACCCCATTAAAAAGTGGGCAAAGGACATAAACAGATATTTCTCAAGAAGACATACCTATGGCCAACAGTCATATAAAAAAAACTCAACATCAATGATCATTAGAGAGATGCACATCTGAACCACAATGAGATACCATATCATACTGGTCAGAATGACTATTATTTAAAAGCCAAAAAATAAGAGTTACTGGCTAGCTTGTAGAGAAAATGACATGCTTATGCACTGTTGGAGTGTAAATGAGTTTAACCATTGTGGAAGACAGTGTAACAGCTCCTCGAAGTCCTAAAGACAGAGATACCATTAGACCCAGCAATTCCATTCCTGGGTATATACCCAAAGAAATATAAATCATTATATTATAAAGACATATGGACATGTATGTTTATGATTTGCTATTTATTCACAATAAGAAAGACATGGAATCAACCTAAATGCCTATTGATGATAGACTAGACAAAGAAAATATGGTACATATACATGGAATACTATGCAGCCATAAAAAAAGAATGAGATCATGTCCTTTGTAGGGACACAAATGGAGCTGGAGGCCATTATCCTTAACAAACTAACACAGGAACAGAAAACCAAATATGGCCAGTTCTTACTTGCAAGTGGGAACGAAATGATGAGAACATATGCACACATTGAGGGGAACAACAGACACTGGGACCTATCGGAGGGTGGAGGGTGGGAAGAGAGAGAGGATCAGGAAAAATAACTAATGGACATTAGGCTTAATACCTGGGTGATGAAATAACCTGGGTAACAAACCCCCATGACACACATTTACTTATGTTACAAAGCTGCACATCCTGCACATGTACCGCTGAACTTAAAAGTTACAAAAATTAAAAAACAGATAATAATGGTTTTGAAGATTAAATAATAATCCATGTAAAGCAATAATCATCATGAATATACATAGTAAATAGTAACTTAGGGTTCTTTGAATCCACTGATTACAAGTTATAGGAAGAAGGCATTTCTCATGATATATTCACTAGTGTAGGCCACTGTCTAGCAGCTATCAGGGTGTCTGGTACATGGTAGAGGTTCAATAGCGGTGCTGAGTGAGTCAGTGAATAAATGCTTAAAGTTTTATCCTAAGTCACTTGGATAATATTATATGTAAAGTAGGAACATAAAAGATATTTTGTATTAAATTCAGGCTTCTTTCTTTCTTTCTTTCTATCTTCCTATGTCTCTAACCAAAGTTACTTGTGTTGTATTCAGATGTGGAAAAATATCAAATGAGGTGATATTTACTTAGAAACTTTTAAGTGACTTTATCTACCAGATGTCACAAAGGCTTAGAAGTCAAAAAATATCTAGACTTATACCTATATTAAGAAAAGTATTATAACATTCTTTATGAAACCAGATTTTAAAAAATGGTTGTTCCCAACACAGAAACTTCTATAAAGAGAGTAGAAAGATTACAAAACCTAATATTTTAAATGTAATTCAAGAAATCATTTACAAATTGATAATAACATAGCCTCCATGCTTAAATTAGAAGTAAAATGGAAACTCAAGAAAAGAAAAATAAATGAAAACCAATTATATGATAAGTTCCTCAAAACCTTTAAAATTAAGAATGAGAAGGATGGCTGATGTCAGTGCTGTTGGTTCTCCCAGAACCCTCCTCTGTCAGCTTAATGACCTGTCTCTACAACATCAAATGCAGTTCACTTTGGTTCTTTAATGATAACTTCATATGTATAAAATGTAAATTATTGTTAACCATGAGACCTTTATAAATGGTCAATAGGAAGGCTGAGTTTTGCTTTGGGGAAGCTCGGGCCAGAACTGAACACAAAGACAGCATATCTCAGCTTCTGCACGTTGCATTCATCGGGTTCAAGCCATGGCAAATGAACCGCTTGTGACAATGAATTCATTTTTCCCATGCTGGATATAAGATGGAAGGCATTGTGAAACATACAAACAGAGAAACATTGATTTGCGGGTTTGCAACTGCTTGAAAGGATTTGGAGAATCATACTGCAGGGCTTACTTGCAGTTTTGAAATCTGAAGACTCTCAAGTTGGTGTGCACGATTTCCTTAGCCAGCTGAGAAACTGACCCACATGCCGAGTGCACTGTGTCCGCACTCAACCCAGTGTTGCTATTGCTGTTTCCTATTTTCTCTTGCGTGCATAATCACTGCTATGAAGTACCAGAGTAGCTTTGAAAGTTGGTCATAGGCCGGGCACAGTGGCTCACGCCTGTAATCCCAGCACTTTGGGAGGCCGAGGCAGGTGGCTCACCTGAGGTCAGGAGATTGAGACCAACCTGCCCAACATGGCGAAACCCCGTCTCTACTAAAAATACAAAAAAAAAAAAAGAAAATTGCCAGGCGTGGTGGCGGGTGCCTGTAGTCCCAGCTACTTGGGAGGCTGAGGCATGAGAATGGTTTGAACTCAGGAGGCGGAGCTTGCAGTGAGCCGAGATCATGCCACTGCACTCCAGCCTGGGTGACAAAGCGAGACTCTGTCAAAAAAAAAAAAAAAAGAAGGAGGGAAGGAAGGGAGGGAGGGAAGGAGGGAGGGAAGGAAGGAAGGAAGGAAGGAAGGAAGGAAGGAAGGAAGGAAGGAAGGAAAGCAAGCTGGGCATCAGGTGGCCTCAGGATATATCCCTCATGAATGTCTCATGATGGAACTTTATACATTATGCACATTGGGCAAAATTACAAGATGGAGCCATGGGAATGAAAAAGTGAATGGAGAGCAAATAACCCTGGTTCCTAAGAAGATGGGAGCTCAAGGGCAAGTCTGTAGGCACCGGCTAAGTGGGGAAAGTGGGATATGCCTCTAATAGACAAAGTTGGAAAGGAGGAAACCAACCTGATGATAGGCCTGCCCCCAGGTAAGGAGCAGTCATCCTAATGCCAAATCCCTGGGGGATGTGACACCCAGGGCAGGACAGCAATGACATCAATTTCCAAAGGTCTTGAAACTTTAAGTGTTGAGGGCACAGTCTCTGACACTGACCATATATGATGGATGGGTTCCTTTCGGTTTCAGGAAAGTTCGTTTTGCAGGAGGCAGAGACCAGAGAGAGAGGGCAGGGTCCAACCCACTGGAGAAGAGCAGCAGGAGCCAGGCTTGGTGTTTAAACCCCTGCCACATCAGCAGAGAGCAAGAAAATCTAGGATTAGACAAGATTCAGACATAAACCAGGAACCAGGCAAGAAACTCAACCACATGGACACAGATTATAGGTTTATAGAGAGGCCTGCAGCTCCCTGGGCAATGGATAACAGTGTTAGGCATCAAACCCCAAACCAGACACCTGCTTTCAGAGCTAAGGGCCTAGTGGACACCAGGCTTCATTCTCACCAGCTCAGAGACTGGGCAGGACCAATTCTGCAGAGGGGCAGGGGTGGGGCAGGAAGAGGTTGAAGGAAACCTTAGGATCTATGTTATTTCTCTATCAATGACTCAAAAAGAGTCCCTCCATTTTTCACAGATATTTTAAATCCTGAAATGGCAGGGAGGGGACCTTGCAGTGATTTTTACTCTTGTGGATCTTGGAGTATCATTGTTTGTTTCTTGGCAAGTGACGGAGTCCTACTTAGCTCTGTTCTGAGACAACTAATTAGAGTTGGATATTCAGCGAAGCACAGAAAATATGCACAATGGTCAACAAAACTACCCAGAAATCTTGAGTTGACTTTTTTTGTTTTTTTTCTTTGTTATATTTGTTTTTGTATTTATGTGTTCACCTTTGTATTTCTAGTATCATTGTCATGGTAGGTACTCAATATGTTTTTATTAAATGAATGAATGATGTTTAGCCAAAATTCACGATCTGATTATTAACCTTTACCTATGTAACCTTTTAATACCATGACATAATAGATTATCTGTTACTGATTAAATTTTAGTATACATGGTTACTATGAGAAATGAAACTCTTACAGTCAATGGAATGAGGCATTACTGTGTATAATTTTCTAAAATCTTTTGGAAAAATAATAAAATTGGGTGCTTTTAAGTGTATGTTTAAATTAAAAAATAATGTATGCCAGGAATATTTGAAGATTTAGTATTTTCTTTTCTACCTGGAGCAAGACTTTAAAAGCTTTATGTTATGCGGGCATTGATTTTCAAAGCTCTGCCTTCAAGTTAGAAAAAAATCCCTACACAAGGAGTATATTTTCATTGTAGAATTTTTAAAATAAAATGAAGCAAGAAGAATCAAAGTAGCAGAAATAATCTGTAATTCTAATACTAAGAGATAATCTATATAAACATTTTGTCTGTATAGATTCCCCCCTTTCATATCTATAATTCTGTCTGCTTGTCTATCTACCTACCTACCTACCATCTGCTTGTCCCTTCAATCATATATATGTGTGTCTGTGTGAGTGTGTATTTCATTGTGGATGCAAATTTCTGTTGCAAAATGTAATTCTCCCCTCCACATATTCACCTCATAAAAAATGAGGTGAATAAAGGAAATATTAGGTGGGTCCAGTCTTGTGGTCAGATGTGTATGTCTGACTCAAAATATAAATTAGGTGTTAATCTTCTAATATATATGCTATATACTGTCAAAGAGTGATCTCTGGGGAAAATGTGATTATTCATTTTTTATTTCTCTAGAATATTTACTATTTCATTTGAAATTCTTTCAACTTTTGCTTGAAAAATTGCTTTTTATAGAACGTTTGATGCCGAGTCTCTGAGGGACTCCACTGCAAAAGAGCCACGCCACTTCACACTTCTGGTCTGTAGGTGGCAGTGGCCACCATCCTACAGCCGTGAAATCCACTGAGGTCAGGTTTTTTTAAAAAAAAACAAAGATCAACAGGAAACCTCTAAAACAATAAAACTCTGTTCATCATTTTGCAACAATATAACTTACAAACTCATTACAGTTATATATCCCACTCTTTTAGACTATTCCATGTTCCTTTCCAGCTAAACGTTGAAAATTGGGTAAATAGTCCCTTAATTCTGTACTGTCCTCTTTCATCTTTCTCCCATTTTCAGTAGCAAGAGCATTCTGAAGGGCATTTCTACCAATTTCTGCAATGTGCAGCATGAATGTTGGATGCTAACACCAAATATTGGGGCACACACTTCACTGCACAGCTGGTGATTAATTTATTTTTCCTAGATACACGAGTTTCAATATCCAAAACTGTTAGACATTGGGAAAACAAGCTTGAGCATGTTATTCTTATAACTTTAGGAAAAGGTGCTAATTACTGGCTAACCTCCAAAGATACTGTACTTCAGTGAATATTTTATGTATATTATATATATTTGCATGTCCTTTATATATGTCCTTTCTCTATAAAACATATATAGTCCTATCTGTAATAAATAATATATACAGAATAAAAATTGAATTCTACTATAAATGTGTTTTTTGCTTAATAATATGTCATGAATATTGATCCCATTGATCAAAGTTTAAATTTTGAATAGCTATAGCACCTGTTTAGATTTGAATTATATTCTCACTCTCTACCACAGATATGTCATGCTTTGCCAATTAGTATGAAGAGTGGCTTAGAATCAGGACTGGTATTGTGCCTTCCGTAGCCCTAATAGACTGATAGGTACATTAATTAGTAATGCCTGAATTAAATTAGTGATTAATTCAGTTTCTAGTTTAGTTCTATTCATACTTGTGTTAAGTGTTAGATATTTTTTAAAGGAATCAAGAAGGTATACAAGTTAGAGAGATGAATTCTGCATAAAACAAAAATCCTAAAAGGTTATAAACTATTTGCATTTTCACTCAACATTTTACGTGCAACAGTTAGTTCTAGAACACAACAGGAATCTTATCATGCTTCTGGATGGGAAGATGCTGAACTGTAATCTGTCTCTGCATTTAACAATAAAATTTAAAGTAAACCTAAAAGAGGTTCGCTCTGATAAATGCAACATATACTACCTTTCATATCAATGGGAACATCAACTAGAGAACACTGATTACACTGTAGGCCCAGCCTGATGTAATTTTTAAAATCTGAAAATTCCTTGATACAGTATTTAGGATTCACAATAAACAAAAATTAGTCTCACAATATTATCTTCATATTTAAAAAGCATGTGGTTAATATCAATTAGTAATTAATATATAAGTAATAGACTGTAAATATTAAAAATTATAAAGGTATTGCACTTTCTAACTCTACCCTTTGGCCATGGGAATTAAATACATCTAAATTCTGTATTTAAACATTGAAAAAAGCTCAGATGACTTGAATCTCTAGGTTTTACAAATCTTTTATAATTTTTAAGAAAACCAGAGTTTTACCTAAACTAAGCAGAGATTTCCACAAGTATATTAATTATTCAATCAAAAAAAAATCAGTGTACCAGCCCTTACAAGCTAAAACCCACTTCTATCTAAAAATGACCAGTCATTGGAATTCTCTCGGAGAATGGCAAGAAACTGAAGCAAAATAAATAATAAAAGCAATAAAAATTCAAGCACTTTGGCAAAATAGATAATTCACAAATATTTTACCCTTCTAGAGTTCTGTTTTAAATTTCATATAAAGTATTCCTTTTGAAGAAATTATATTTGAAATATCAATTCTATTTCAACAATTTTCATTACAAAAATAATTTTTGCATAATGCAGTTATTTTTCTATTCTATCAAATGGTCCAAAATACCACCACAATGTTTATGTATTTACAATGAATATTTTTTAACATGCTATTTTCTACAATGAATGATTCTCCCACTCTTACACTCATTGTTTGACGTGGAACAAGATGAGCAGAGAGACAAGGGGAGCCATCCTGAAACTGGGCTATTCCACAGACCTGCTCCTTTGAGTCTTAATATCCCAAATACACTGCCAGTATCATCCAAACTTCTAAAACAGAAAATAACCCAAGAGTTAGCAAACAGCAGGAAATTTCCCTTTTGTGATTTAGTAAGGAAAATTTTCCACTTATATTAGCACCTGCCTGAGTTACAATACTAAATACTGCACTTTTAGTTCAATGGTTCTAATCAGCAAAAGCTGTTCAAGAGCCATGAACTTTATGTATTTATTTTTTTTGAGACTGAGTCTCACTCTGTTTTCCAGGCTGGAGTGCAAAGGCACAATCACGGCTCACTGCAACCTCACTCTCCTGAGGCCTGGGTGACCCTCCTACCTCAGCCTTCCAAGTAGCTGTTTGTTGTTAGATTAGATTTCTGGTGGCTGAGTCCACAGATGGTCACAATGTGTGGCTATGGCTATGCGTTATAGCATAGAAGGAATAGCCAGATGGTTCTAATGCCTAAAGCTTCCTTTTTTGCTTGTCCCTTTTATAAAGCTTGGTTCTTCAACCTCACTGTCAATTTTGTAAGCTAAGAGTAACTTTCCGACAAGTTTATTTACACCTAAGTTATCTAAAGTCATTTTTTGTTGTTTTCAATTGAGGAGTTTAAGTCATACAGAAAGTGTGAATAAGGCCTGGATTGTTGGCAATAGCATCTCAGGAGAATGTGGGGATTCTGAGACTTATTATCTAAGTAATTGGAGGTTGAAGGCAGTAAAAACCAGGCATGAGACCCTGCAGATTTACAGTACACAAGGTGGCAAAATAGCAAATCAAATTAGAGATTTTTTGGCACTTAAAATAGTATGCTCTTTAAAGACAATGTTTTAGAGTGTCATGGTGAATTTTCCAAAGAACAGGAAGACGGGTAAAAAGTCAAGGCCTAGAGTTTGTCTAAATAAGTGTAAGCAAAGGGAACAGCGAGCTCAAATCCTTAAATTCTCTTCTTGAGACAGACAAAAGTTTAGCATTTTTCTATCATGGTCCTAACAGTATCTCCTATGCCCCAGGGTAATTAAAAATTGAATTCAAATTTAGATCCAGGTGGCCCCTAATTGAATTTATAGATCCTCCTGGTAACTTAGGTTAAACATATGATCTGGATTAAAAAAAAAAAAAAAGGAAAATAATTCCAAGAATGTGAACTTACTGGAATATGCAAAGGACTCCAAGAACCTCAGCATTTCAAACACCCCCTAAACTTCTCTGTGTATTCAAAACCGGCTCCCACACATACCACACGTATCTGATGAAATTATTTATCTTTTCATTGAAGCTACAATTCCTTCCTTACATGAGTGAGCCGACTTTCAAACAAGAACCATATTAGCATTCCTACTTCATTGCCGGTAATATACAAACGGGGTTTGAAAAGCAAGAAGCAACTACTTTAAATATCATTGAAATACAGGTTGGGCACCGTGGCTCACACCTCTAATCCCAGCACTTTGGGAGTTCAAGGCGGGCCGAGCACTTGAGGCCAGGAGATGGAGACGAGGCTGGCCAACATGGAGAAACCCCGTCTCTACAGAAAATACAAAAATTAGCCGGGTGTGGTGGTGCACGTCTGTAGTCCCAGGTACTAGTGAGGCTGAGGCACAAGAATCGATTGAGCCCAGGGGGAAGGAGGTCGCAGTGAGCAGAGATCACTCTACTGCACTCCAGCCTAAGCGATACAGCGAGACTCTATCTCAAAAAAAAAAAAAAAAAAAAAAAAAATATATATATATATATACATATATATATATATATATATGCCAGAGGGAGATAAATACCATGAAAATACAGGGAACAATATTTCAGAAAAATTTCAGGGAGTCCAGTGGCCTGGCACCTGCCGGGATATCCCTCCATTTCTTCCGCTACTCCTAACAGCAAGTTCTAACACCAAGTGAGTCCCTTCTGCTTTTGGAGGCAGTGTTTGCTACATTTGAGTACACTGCCATGAATCATTTACCCATGTCTCCGAGAGGCTTCCAGCTTTAAGCACGACCCTGGGCAAAAGAATCTTTTCCAGATGAGTCAGGAAATAGTATTGGTCATTTTGCTTCCTGACCTTTATGATCTAGCATATCCAATCATGCTCAAAGAATCTGTAATGGGTCAGAAGACTCAATGGAATCCATGGCATTCCTGGATAAATAATAATAATAATAATAATAAAATAAATAAAAAAATTCACAGCGAAGGCATCATAGTTTAAGGCAAAAGTATGCCTTTTTCTGCTATTGTCCTTTCACTAAGTGGCTCTTAGCTTTCTACTACGCCTTGGTGAATAATAAACATCTAACTGTAAAGCCATAATTGAGCATACAACTTAAAGAGCACATTATAAACTAGTGCTATCATACCACACAGCTTTGAAATTTGGAATACTCCATGGTAATCCATCATCAGGTCAAAGTGTTATATGTCAAACCAGGCATTTGATAATTCTCATGTCGTAAACAAGTTCTTTGAACGAGTGACTCACAATCCCTTATGCCTATTCCTGATACTCTCTCACTACTCTCTCAAACTACCTATGCCCTCATCATTGCTCCCTACTAAAAAATACTAAGGAGAAAATAATACAGTAAGATCCTACAAAATATACATGCACCAGCCTGAAGTTCCATGCATACAGTAGGAACTCAATAAAGATTAATTGACTTGAATTGAATAAAACTGTTTGCAATAACTTTATAATTTCATAAGCTCCATTTTCTCTGATAGAGCATTATCTTAGTTTGTTTTGTGCTATTATAACAGAATACCTGAAACTGGGTAATTTATAAAGGACAAAAATTTATTCCCTCACAGTTCTGGAGTCTGAGGTGTCCACGATCAAGATGCCAGTAGATTAGGTCTCTGGTTCCAAGATTGTGTTCCCTTGCTACTCTCTAGAGTGAAGGAATATTGTGTCTTCACATTGTCGAAGAACAGAAGAGAGGGAAGCCACTCCTATAAGTTTTTTCTATAGCTGCATTAATTCATTCATTAAAATGGAGTCCTCATGATCTAAACACCTCCCATTAGGTCCCACCTCCCAACACTGTTGCACTAGGGATTAAGTTTCAACGTGAGTTTTGGAGGTGAAAAAAACATTCAAACCACCACAAACATATAGAAGAAAAACTCTTTCAGAGGGCAGAGTTTTGAAAACACCCCTCATCCATATAGCCTCAGAGATGAGTCTGAATAGATTTATGAAGACTGATTAATGGTTTGGCTAGAAAGAAGAAAATTGGAGGTTGGTGATGAAAAGTTTCGGAGAACAGATATTTGAAAGGACTCTCAGAATGAGCACAGATATCAGCATATCAGCTACCTAGTAGGAGGCTTATTGTATTGAATTCCACTCACAATGAAAGAAGAGCAATTTGTTCTTGCTTAATATCCTTATCCTGGGATTGATTATCTTTATTTGTCTCTCTCTCCATGTTATCATTCATGGATTTACTAATATCACAGGTCATCTATGTTTTCCAGAAACACTGATTGCTATCAAGAAAAATTGAGTAATAGATGGGCTCCCCAGGGGTTCACTAGAGCTATCACATACCATGTCATCATCCTGAACAGAGACTCTTATGAAAAGTTGGAGAAGTTATTTGAGGACTCAGTTAAAGATCAACTAACAACACCTTGCAAAGTTGAGATGTCCTGTATAATGCTGCATATATCTTGAATAAATGACCAATATATGATATTCCTCCAAATGGGTCTAAAATTAAGTGGTACTTCTTGGTCAGAATACATGGATCTAAAACCCAAGAGATAAATTTCACAACCACATGCAATGAAATCACATTCAAGAGTTTTGCTTCTCATTCCTATAACTCAGAGCACTGCTTGTAGAGTGTTTTAGATACCAATGAAGGAATCCTTAAAATCAAATACAAAATGCTTTTACTGATTTGGAAATGGAATTTTCCTCTGAGTCATTTCATGGTACTTTATTACAGGGAAATGAGCTAGATCGTTGTAGTTCTACTTGGAGTGGTTAATCCTAAGTACCAAGGAAAAATAGAGATGCTAGCTAATGGGAGATGGGAGATTGGAGAAGCATGGATGAAATCCAGGTGATCTCATTGGTCATTTTGTCATCTTTTCATGTCTAGGGATAAGAGTTTTTTAGGATGCACTTCCACTTAAACCAAGATGACCTAACAAGGACCAGATTTACTCTCCTGCCTCAACAACTACAAAGACAAAATATATGAAACAATAGTTTGTAAGACATTGAACATTAAGCAACAAGGGGCTGTGATCTCTCAGAGACAGAAAAGCCCTATGATTGCTCTGATTTACTGCCTGGAGAAAGTTTGCAGACTGTGGTGAAGGAAGGAAGAACTCAGGTAGGGCCCAGCAATCTTGCAGAGTTGAGGAGATGTGTCCGGCCACCTGCAGGGAACAAGACAACTATTTCACAGGACCGAATCCCGGCAGACAGGAAAGAATTAACAAAGAGATAACCCACATATTTGCAGAGCCCCCTGGTGTATTCAGTTGAGCACTGATCAGTGTGTGCATGTGAGCTACCCAAGACTGGAGAAATTTTTTAAAATTAAAGATTTGATGGCCAAAATTTTTTATAAAAATTGTAAACCCACATGAACAAAAAAGTCAATAAGCCTCAAGCAAAAGAAACATGGAAAAGCTACAGCTGCTGTTCAAAATGGCATTACTGTTCCAGACAAAATTAAATATAGACTTCGCTATGATCAAACAATTTCATTTCTGGTTATACACCTAAAGAGGTAAAAGCAGGGACTTGTGCAGTTATTTGTAAACCCATGTTCATAGCAGCATTAATCACAATATCCAAAAGGTGGAAGCAACCCAGGTCTTGTCCATCAGTGGGTGAATGGATAAACAAAAGGTGCTGTATACATACAATGGAATAATATTCAGGCTTAAAATGGAAGAAAATTCTGATACATATGATGACATGCTGAATATATGATGTTAAATGAAATAATCTAGTCACAAAAAGAAAATGTAGTATGATTCTACTTATATAAGGTATTTAGAATAGTCGAAAACTAAAGACAGATGGTTGAGCAGAGGTTATTAGTGGCTGGGTGAGTAGAAAGCAAGAAATTATTGTTTAATGGAATACAGAGTTTGGAAAGTTTGGAAAGATAAAAAGGTTCTGAAAATGGGTGGTGGTGACAGTTGCACAACAATGTGAATGTACTTAATGTCATTGAATGGTACACTTAAAATGGTTAGAATGGAATTTTATGGGCTGGGCATGGTGGCTCACACCTGTAATCCCAGCTCTTTGGGAGTCCCAGGTGGGTGGATCACCTGAGGTCAGGAGTTCGAGACCAGCATGGCCAACATAGTGAAACTCCATCTCTACTAAAAATATAAAAATTAGGCAAGCTTGGTGATGGACATTTGCAATCCCAGCTACTCGGGAGGCTGAGGCAGAAGAATTGCTTGAACTCTGGAGGTGGAGGTTGCAGTGAGTTAAGATCATACAATTGCATGCCTGGGCAACAAAGTGAGACTCTGTCTCAAAAAAAAAAAAAAAGAAAAAGAAAAAAAGAAATTTTATGTTACATATATTTTTTAAAGGTACATGAAGAAAATTACAAAAAGACACATTAAAATCAAATTTCTGGAAACTAGTGATAGAGAAAATCTTAAAAACCAATCAGAGAAAAAAGAATCACATGCAAAATAATAAACATATGTTGACAGTGGCTGCCTCTTCCAAAACAATGCAAGCTATAAAACCAGTTGGACAATATCTTGTAAGTACTGAAAGAAAAAAAAAGTCAACATAGAATTTTTTACCCAGCAAAAATATTTATTGAAAAATGAAGATAAAATTAACATTTTTCAGATATACAAAAGTGTTCATCACCAGCAGACCTGCATTAGGAGACAATTTTCCATGGTTCTCCCACATTTCCATGTCTTGCAAGTGAAGAACTGAGTATTGTTTGTTCCAGACTAAGGTGTTCATAATGTTTGTATAGCAGACAATTTTGGAAGGTAAAGTCTTAGAAGCATTGGGAGATAATATCTCCCTCTTGAGCAAAGGGTAGGCATGTTTCCTGTCCTGTGTAATAAAGATAATTTCACTCTTCAGAGAAAATAACAAGAATTTTTGCTGCCAATTATAAACATTTTGCATTACGTAAACTCTGGGCTCCTCTTTTGTAGTTCAACCCACTGTATGCATAGGGGTCATCTGGCCTTCTTTATGTCTCTCTTGGAAAATTAGGGCTTAGGGAACTAACACGAAAATGTCGATAATACTGTGTCTATTGCTAATACTGTGTGTAATAAACTGTCCAATGTACAGAAGTCTTATGCTTTCCACAAACACCCAAGAAGCTGTAGCAGGTTAAATTATTAGATTAAAATATTGGCTAACATTTTAGAGCCTTTACAGTTCCAGATAACCTGCAAGAAACATAAAGGAACTGCCTCAAGCAGAAGGAAAATAATACCAGATAAAAATGTGCATTTACATAAAGGAATGAAGAACAATCAAAATGATCAATATCTGGGTAATTGTATAGAAGTTTTTTGTTATTATTTAAACATTTTAAAAAATAATCAACTATTTGAAGTAAAAAAAATGAAAACAATGTGTTGTGGGATTCATAACATGTCTACAGTTAACATATGTCAACAATAGAACAAAGAGGAAAGGGGAAAAGTTGAAGTATGCTATTAAAATGTTCTGGCTGGGAGCAATGGCTCATGCTTATAATCCCAACACTTTGGGAGGCCGAGGCAGGTGGATCACTTGAGGTCAGGAGTTCAAGACCACCCTGGCCAACATGGCGAAACCCCATCTCTACTAAAAATACAAAAAATTAGCTGGGCGTGGTGGCGCACACCTGTAATCCCAGCTACTTGAGAGGAGAATTGCTTGAATTGAGGAGGTGGTTCTTATACTATATGTGAAGAGTTATAATATAACTTGAAGGTGGACTGTAAAAAGTTAAAGATGTATACTAAAAACCCTAAAGCAACTACTTTAATAATATGACAAAGAGTTATAGCTAATAAACCAATAAAGGAGATAAAATGATCATGTAGCTGACTGGGAGTTGCCACCGCTACTACCCTGCACCACCAGAGAAAATCGTACTGCTTTCTACTGAATGTGTATAGCACTCAAACTTTTGTAATGTCAAACCATTGTCTGTAGTAAATATCAGGGTAGAAATCCATGAATTCAAAAGTAGAAAAACAATGGGGAAAAAGGTTAATGAAACTGAAGTCTGGGTTTTTTGAGATCAAACTTCAGCCAGAATGATGAGCAAAGGAAAGAGAAGTCACAAATTTCCAATATCAAGCAGGAGAAAGGTGACATCACTACAGATTCTGCAAATATTAAAAGTATAATGGAGGGAATACTCTAACAATTTTATGCCAATAAATTTTACAATTTAGAGAAAATGGATAAATTTCTTGAAAGATACTGTGACAAAGAAACTTAGGCACATTAAAATTTTGAAGAGTTTATTTGAGCAGATAGTGATTCATGAATTGGGCAGCACCAAATCACTTTGGGCTCTAATGAGAGGGAACAAGGGGAAAACTTTTATAAGATGTTTTTGGAAGCAAGATAAAGAAAATATTTGATGGTTAAAGTGGAAAGTCTCTAGTTAGAAGTGAGTTGGTGGCTTCTGATTAGTTTGCTAGCATAAGAACCCAAGGCGCTGGAGCTATCTCAGCCCAGTGGCCTCCTAATTAATTTTTTTAACAATACAAACTACTAAAGCACATCCAGAAGAAAGTGATAACACGAATAGCCATAAATATACTAAAGAAATTGGATTTGTAATTCTAAGTCTTTCCACAAAGGAAACTTCACATCCAGGTAGCTTCACTGCAGAATTCTACCAAATATTTGGAAGGAATAATACCTATTCTATACGAAATCTTCCAGAAAATTGAATAAGAAGCAATCCATCCCAACATATTCTATGAGGCAAGCATTACATTGATATTACTCACGAGCAAAGATACAAAATTTCTAAATAATTTGGTAGCTAACAAAATTCAACAATATATTAAAAAGATAATACATGTTGACCAATGGTAGATGTATCCCAGTGTAGCAGGATGAGCCATAGACAAGAACCTCTCAGACACCAAGTTGTAGAAGGAAAGGGTTTTATTCAGCTGGGAGCATCGGCAGACTCATGTCTCCAAAAACCAAGCTCCCCGAGTGAGCAATTCCTGTCCCTTTTAAGGGCTTACAACTCTAAGGGGGTCTGTGTGAGAGGGTCGTGATTGATTGAGCAAGCAGAGGGTATGTGACTGGGGGCTGCATGCACTGGTAATCAGAACGGAACAGAACAGGACAGGGATTTTCACGATGCTTTTCCATACGATGTCTGAAATCTATAGGTAACACAAGCAGTTAGGTCAGGGGTTGATTTTTTAACTACCAGGCCCAGGGTATAGTGCTGGGCTGTCTGCCTGTGGATTCCATTTCTGCCTTTTAATTTTTACTTCTTCTTTCTTTGGAGGCAGAAATTGGGCATAAGACAATATGAAGGGTGGTCTCCTCCCTTACCAGGAATGCAAGATTGATTTAACATTCAGAAGTCAAAACCAACCAGTAAGCAAGCCTGCTCTCTGCCCCAGAGAAAAGACATTGCCTCACGCCTAAATGTTGCTTACTGCCAACATACATCTGAGCAATGGCCCAAGTAGAAAACGGCCAGGGTCTTGCGTTCTTGGAATACCCAGCAAGATGTACAGGAGCGTGAGAAGTTCATGCTGGAGTATCAACCTGCGGCTTCCTCCCCTTTCTCTTTGTTTTTAAAAGAAACCCTCCTTTCTCTTTTTAACTAATAGCTCCAGACCCAGGGATGAATTATGTTTAAAAGTAAATTTCCATTTTCAGTAGCCTTTAGCAAGGTGGTATCAAAACTTATTATGGTGCTTTATCCTGATGGATTCAGACCAGCTGAAGCTAAAAAAGGACCCACTCTTTTCCGACCAGTGAACAATAGAACTTGCTTTAACCAATTGTGAGCCTACTCATGGACTCATTACCACTTATCCAGAGTGCTGGTTTTCAATGCTTAATTAGCATAAGCACCAATTCCCCTTTTCTTTTACTTAAAAAGTCCTGACTTTTTTCAATGAGTGAATTTCTTTACTGGCAATATATTACTTTGCTTTGCAAGTTAACAAAATCAGCTCTGTTTTGTTTGGTTGGTTGGTCAGTTGGTTTGTTTGATCTCTACTGATACTGGTTTAAATCTTCAACAATCATGATTTGTCAAGATAAACATGGCAATCCCTTTCCTGTCTAGTCAGATACTTTCTCAGCCTCTTGTAGTTTTAGCCAACAAACAACCACAAACAAATAACGGGGGACTCAGTTGGGAAATTTGTGTTCATGGGGTCTTTTTTTTTTTGCCCCCTGATATAAGAAAAACTGTTTTCCCACGCTCATCTTCCAATTGTAAGGCAATGTCATGAGGGCAAAAAGCCAATAAACCAAGGAAGAGAGAGTGTGGAAGGACAGAGAAAACCTGCGTCTTTGATGTCATTTTCAAAATTCCAAGTTAGCCATGAGGCAAAGCTAAAGAACAGCTTAATAAAAACTTGGACCTTGGAATTGAGGTGTTATTAGTGACAGTCCCTAAAATAAAGAAATGAATGAGTGAAGGAGGTATATCAGGACAGTGAGAACTCAAACATTCCAGGCTCAGAATATTGGCAAATGTTCCTTGATCCTGTGTCTTTCAGTGAAGTCCCACAAGAGAGGTTGAAAGTTCAAATGGAGGTGCCTGGCCTGAAAGAAACTGCAGCTTTGCTAAAAGAGATATTCATCGTAATCTGTTGCATGAATTTAACTGAGTTGTCCCATCATTGTAATCTTGTTGGGTTGGAACAGCCAACTTCTATACCCAACATCTAAACAAGCACCAGCACAGAAGTTATGGGTTTAATAGCAAATATTATTGACAAGTTTGAGACTCACCCCTTTTTGAAAATGTCTTCATTAAACGTGCTTGGAAGGATAAAAGGAATACGCTCGCCAGAAAAATGCAGTTAAGCTTAGCATCTCCTAAGTAGAGGATAGTATTTCAAATTGCTGCAGTGCAGAGACCATTTAACTCTAGAAGAATGAGTAGCCTCAAGACTAGTGCTTAGGAAACTCATTGGACTTAAAAACTGTGTGTAGACAAAATCTTTGATTATGATAATTAGGACATGAAATTGATTAGAAACAAATAGAAAAACGTTAAATTTTTGAGAGAACTGTATTGTGACAAAAACGTGAGGCCTGGCTGCAGTTAGTTTATGACTATTCAACTTTTTAGTCTCAGAACTTACACCAAGTAGAATGGGATCATAAATGCATTGCATCCACCGTGAATTACCTCCTACCAATACAGGTCTGTCTCTGAAGGGCCATGGAAAATAATGGGAAAGAATTTTCCTAAAGAGCAGAAACCAACATTGACAAATGAGATTGGCCCATTGGGGAAGCTATTACATTGCAAAGGGTATTTAATATAGGCAGGACTGGAGCTAAGGTGAGGTGGATGAGGCACTCATCTGGGGCACAAAGTTCAAGCAGGTGCTAAAACACTCGGTAATTAAGATAAGTAATATTTTAATGCAATATTTAGAAAATCTAAGTGACTGCAAAAAATCTATGATGAACAGAATATCAAAATTTTATATATGCATCGTATTACTGATTTATTTTATTTTATTTTATTGAGACGGAGTCTCGCTCTGTCACCCAGGCTGGAGTGCAATGGCATGATCTCAGCTCACTACAACCTCCACCTCCCAGGTTCAAGCGTTTCTCCTGCCTCAGCCTCCCGAGTAGCTGGGATTACAGGCACCCGCCAACTCGCCTGGCTAATTTTTGTATTTTTAGTAGAGACGGGGTTTCACCATGTTGGCCAGGCTGGCCTTGAACTCCTGACCTCAAGTGATCTGCCCACCTCAGCCTCCCAAAGTGCTGGGATTACAGGCGTGAGCCACTGCGCCCAGCCCGTATTACTGATTTTTATTTCCCCCTTTGGCCTTAGGTTCCAATATGGCTCAGCAGGCACTGCTATAGTTGTTTTCTTTTTTTTTTTTTTTTTTTTTTTTGAGACGGAGTCTCGCTCTGTCGCCCAGGCTGGAGTGCAGTGGCGCAATCTCGGCTCACTGCAAGCTCCGATTCCCGGGTTCACGCCATTCTCCTGCCTCAGCCTCCCGAGTAGCTGGGACTACAGGCGCCCGCCACCGCGCCCGGCTATTTTTTTGTCTTTTTAGTAGAGACGGGGTTTCACCTTGTTAGCCAGGATGGTCTCGATCTGCTGACCTCATGATCCACCTGCCTCGGCCTCCCAAAGTGCTGGGATTACAGGCGTGAGCCACCGCGCCCGGCCTATAGTTGTTTTCTACTTCCCCTTTTCCCCAAAACTTCACTGTGGATTTCTAATTTTCTCCCTCACTGTATTTTAAGTGTGTTTGCAGTGTTGGGAAGAAGGATACATTCTCATTTACTCCCTTAGTATCTTCAATGGGGTCTAAGAATTAAATAACCTTAAGACAGGTTAACAGGAGAAATGCACGCAAGTGTTGTTAATCTTTACATGTACAGGGCGCCTTACACAAAACAGTGAAGCTCCTAAGAAATGGCCAGAGTAGAAAGCTTTTTTACCTTTTGTTTTTAGTAGAAATAATAAATTTGTGAAATGGTGACAAAGAAGTTTGGGCTAGGGGTAGCAAATTGTGGGGAAGTCAAGGGAAAGGAGGGTGTAAAGCTAGCGGAAGTTAAGGGTGATTTTAGGAAGTTTATTTGTACAGATCTATTGCAGATCAATTCCCAGTCTCTAGTGATAAGGGTTATTTTCTCATCCTGGTACAGGAAAGGCATCTTTCTCAGAAGAATTTTTAGGGCTTACAACAGGCAAGAAGGGGCAAGTCTGACAGCCTTTTCTGCAAGTGTTTTTTCTCTAGTATTTTCAGCTCTAAATAAGCAGTAAGCCAAATCTGCATATTTTGGGGTGGCATGTCCTTAACTCTTTCCATGTCAGACAAATTGGTCTTTTAGTTACAGGTCACCACACATAAGAAGCCAAATCCAGACTTGCTTATCACCAGTGATATAGGGCTTCAAGCTGAATGTAGAAACTGGATGAGATTTGGGGGTTTATTCTCTAGGGCCAGGGGTAAATGCATATTTATTTTGGAGGATTGATATAATCCTCCAAATAAATATAATATATCACATTATATTCCCATATAATGTGATATATGGGAAAAAAAGTGTATGCAAATGATGCATAGTGAAAGAGGAAGACACCAGTGGATGCTTAATCAAGTAGCACCTTCTTAAGCCCATTTCTCCCTATTAGGACACATTCCCTTTTGCTACCTATGTAGTCTTTCCTTCTCTGCCTCTCCTATGGGTAGATGCAGTCATGTGACCCAATCCTAACGCGAAAAATTCAGGAAGTCTGAAGGGTGGATGAAAAGGAGGCTTCTGAAAGTTGTTTTTCTTCTCAGTAAAAGGAAAGCTAGTTTCTTCCCATCTTCTAATCCTGCCTGTGAGGAAAATTAATGTCTGGAGCTGCAGCAAATATCCTGGATTCATGAAGAAACAAGCATGAAGATGAAATTCAAAACGCCAATGATGGCGAAATAGAAGGATAGAAAAAGCCTGGATCCTTCCTGACATCTGTAGCAGACGCTGCTGATGCCCAGCCATTTATCTAGCCAGTGAATCCATCCTTCAGTGAAAGTGTCAAACAAGGGTGAGAGGAATGCAGAACAGGTGGTAGGGAGAGAAAATGATTGGGGTCAGTTGCAGTATTGGGACCCTCTTCCCTCCTCTTGTAAGATTCCCAGAAATTGTCATCAGCCAGAATCCTGGAAAATCTATGCTTGAAATGGAGTGAAGTGAATATGAGAAGGGAGTAGATGGGACTGGTCCAAAGGACAGAACAATATTAGACACTGTTGGTACCAGCACAGGCCCCCCTTATCAGACCAAGTCACCATCCCTGTGCTGTTGTGAGTGCTAGCTGCTCATAGCTCACAACAGCATCCTTCTCCTGAAAATCCTATGGGCTCACCTAGAAATGGCTGGAAGGTTGCAGCCCATAGCCAATGGCTGACTGATAGAAGGCAGGAGCCTGGCTTCTTGCCCAAGAGAGAAAAATTTCATGACACCATCCACACTCTAGAGCTCTCCATGGAGATCAGCCTGAAGCTCCTGAACCCACTTTATCACCTATTGCTTTCCTTGCCCTATTCTGCTTTCCTCATCCCCTTACCTTTCACCTGAGAGCTCGCTCTGAATAATCACACAATCTTTGTTTCTAAGAAGCCCAACCCAAGACCACATCACCGCGTCCCATTTAACATTACGTTCCTCTTCTGCAGGACCTCTTGTTAGATAAACAATAGAAGACATCACCTTTAACACACCTTTTGGTTTTTCCTAACTAATATAGCAGTGGGTAAGAAATTATACTAAATACCATTTAGGACCTTCTAATCATTTCAGAAATGAGGACTATAGATTTTACCCATGTTAGTTCGTTCTGGGTTGCTATAAAGGAATATCCGAGGCTGGGTAAATGTATAAAGAAAAGAGATTTATTTTTGGCTCAAGGTTCTGCAGACTGTACAAAAAGCATACTGCCAGCATCTGCTTTTGGTGAAGAACTCAGGAAGCTTCCAATCACAGAGGAAGGTGAAAGGGGAACAGACTCGTCACATGGTGAGAGAGGAAGCAAGAGAGATGCTATGCTTTTTTGAAAAACCAGCTATCACATGCACTAACTCATGACTGCAGGGAGGGCACCAAGCCATTCATGAGGGATCCACCCCCATGACCCAAACACCTCCCACGAGGCTTCACTTCCAACATTTGGGTTCACATTTCAACATGAGATTTAGAGAGGACAAACATCCAAGCTATGTCACTACCCATGGTTCCTTCTTCATTAGCTTATACAAATAAGTATTAACAATAATTTTACTTTGTATAACCTTTCCACAACTATTATACATAGTGATGGTTAGTGATGCTGAAATTTGATATTATTCCATAAATGTAACAGGAAAACAATCATTTTCTCTCTTTTGGTAGTAGCATCACAATTTTCCTGTTGGGAATCACTCCTCTACATTCAGTGCCTGTGAACTGGTATCCTGATCTTGCCCTCAGCTCATGCCAGGCATGTGAGCCAGGCCTCACCCACCCCTCTAGCCACAATAATCATATCAGAAATAGGAATGAAACGCAAGTTGCAACCATTGAGAATCAGGCTTAAGGGTTTTGCTGACACAATTAAAAAGGAGGTGCTATTCTCCCTCTGGCGTTGGAGACAGCCTTGGAGAAAGCCCAAATGTGCTGCAGATCACCATATAGAAGGAGTAGGTTGGGAATGGCACTAACACAGAAAAGAGCATCTCTCCAAGATGAAGAGAGAAAGAGCAAAAGCAAATCTGGACATTCTTGGAGTCCCTCGTTTCATCTCTACGCAAAGCCAAATTTATGCCCTGACTATTCATTTGCATGAAAGAATCTATTTTGATTAAATCCCTTTGATTTGGGTTTGGAGTTACTTGAAATCTGAGTCCTGACTGGAGAGGAAATGCAGCATCCACATATTCCCCATGAATAGACATAGAGGTGCACTACTCATGAGTGGCTGCTACAGTCATCCCATAGAAGAATGGGCCCTAATGTATTGAAATAAGCCACAATTATTGGATGTTTATGTTATTTCTTACTTATTTATATCTGAGAAATCTTTTTTATTTTTATTTGTTTGTTTATTTATTTTTGAAACAGAGTCTCACTCTGTCGCCCAGGCTAGAGTGCAGTGGCACAATCTCAGCTCACTGCAACCTCTGCCTCTCCACCTCCTGGGTTCAAGCAATTCTTCTGCCTCAGCCTCCCGAGTAGCTGAGGCTACAGGCACCCACCATCACACCCAGCTAATTTTCGTATTTTTAGTAGAGACAGAGTTTCACCATGTTGGCCAGGATGGTCTCAAACTTCTTGACCTCAGGTGATCTGCCCGCCTCAGGCTCCCAAAGTGCTGGGATTACAAGCGTGAGCCATCGCATGAACAATTTTCGATGGCTATCACCCCACATACATTTTTGAACAATTCCCTAATTTCCTGGGATGAATTCCTAGGAATTAATTTTGGAAATAAATGATGTGCATACTTCTTAGAATTTTGATACACGCTGCTTTGTTTTCTTCAAGGTGACTAAAACGGAAGCACTAAAATCTTCCATTCCAAATTCTAAAATTATTAACAGCATAATTGGAAAAAGTGCACAAAATCTGCTCTGCTAGCTGACGTATATTTTTAAAAAGCTCTTGGACTCAAATTGAAGAAGGTAAAAATGGTGAACAATCTCAGGACTGCGCCTGATGCAGGGCATTGAGAAAAGCTTCTTTCTTCTTCTCGAAATAAAATTCTGATGAGTCATTTTCTTCTAAAATTCCATACTCCATCCCACTGGCCACTTTGAAATTCCTCAAAAACTAGAACACGGGTTTTCACACCCTGTGTTTTGTTTTGTTTTGTTTTTGTTTTTTGCTTGAAAGAAGGGGCGGGTAGCAGGGTTCTTGCTTGGCTTGGCATTTACATGTTCACACGAAGTCGTAAAAGAGTAAAACATGTGACAGACTTTCCAAGAGTGGGTGGGAATTTGGGCAGTTGTGAAACTTCTGGTGAAATGTGACAGCCAGAAAGAAGGCTGGTCTCTGGAGTATGATGCGTCTTTTCATGGATAACATGGAAAGTTTTGTGGGGGAGTTCAAAACTCAGCCCAGGTCCAAATAAGCAAAGAAATAAAACAGGCTTATCCAAAGCTGAAATAAAACTATGTCTAGAAAAGAACTTTGCTAAAGGAGTCCTCAAGCCTCCCAAGCAGCTAGGAGTACAGGTGCATGTCACTTCTTTTTTTTTATTTTATTTTATTTTATTATTATTATTATACTTTAAGTTTTAGGGTACATGTGCACAATGTGCAGGTTTGTTACATATGTATACATGTGCCATGTTGGTGTGCTGCACCCATTAACTCGTCATTTAGCATTAGGTATATCTCCTAATGCTATCCCTCCCCTCTCCCCCCACCCCACAACAGTCCCCAGTGTGTGATGTTCCCCTTCCTGTGTCCATGTGTTCTCATTGTTCAATTCCCAAGTAAATGATTCCATGGTGAAAGACAAGAAAAGAACTTCAATAGGATGAGGTGGTCTCATACCAACCAAAGCTTGCATACCAACATTGCCAGGTGGGTGAGAATTGCATTCATTCCTAACCTCTTGAGGCTTCAGCATCCCAAGACTAGATGGTAGAAAATCTCAGTAGCTCTCCAGGCAAAGCTGGCCGGGGCAGTGGGGACAGGGGATTCAGAACGCTCACCCACGATGTCTGAAAAGCATCCAGAGAGATCACAATGCTTTGACTTCTGATATAACCTTTTGGGGTGTTTACGTACTTTTACATGCTTCAAGGAATAAAATGTCTAAATGGAATTCTAAAAAAAAAAAAAAAGAAAAGAAAAGAACTTTGCATATGGTTATGGTCCTCTAGAAATGTTTGGAAGCAGAAAGCTAGAACACTATTAAGACATTTTTTAAAAGAAAAAGAAAAAAACTGGAAAAAACGTTTTAAAATAGATTTTTAAATTAAAATATAGCATATATATACAAAAATGCACAAATGATCATTGTAAGCTTGTTGAAGTTTAGCAAAGTTAAAATTCCTGTATAACCAGCACCCAGAGGAAGAAAAAGAACATTTCCCTGGATCACAGATTTCCCCATGCCCACGTTTATATATGTGAAATAAATAAACATAAAAACCCGAAACACCTCAGCCCAGAATTTCTTTCTAGCTCTTCTAAACCACTAGTCAGCAAGCTATATGACTTCAAGATGGCTGCCCGTTTTTATAAAGAAACTGATAGTGACACACAGCCATGCCATTCATTTACATATCGTCTATGGCTGCTTTCGCACTGCAATAGTAGGGCTGAGCAGCTTAGACGGAGACCAGATGGCCGCAAAGCCTAATTTGCTATCTGGCCCTTTATAGAAAGACTCGACTGACCCCTGATTCAAACAGCAGAGAAAAGTAAGGGAAAAATGAGAGAGAGCCATTCTGTGGTTCAAATGTGAAAGTTCAAAAGTTCTAGAACTTTCAAAGTTGCTCTATAGCCTAGAGTAGTTGTGATATTAGGACACGGGCCCACTCAGAATTGTATCGTTGAGTGCAGGAGCGATAGACCTTTAGCTATTAAAATAATGCTCTGCTACTCCAAAGTCTGTTTACAGAATGTTATCAATGACTTCTCAAGCTTTAGAAATCACACGTTCATTCAAGGCCCACTTCACCTAAACTTGCTAGAGGTACAAAACCCTTTACTCAAGATGTCTACCTCCATACTTTCATGTAATTACTCTCACAACTCTGGTTCACTAAAAGAAGGTTTGAAAGTTCTGATTTTTCCCAAACACAAATACCCTCCAAGCAGCCCCTTAAGGGGGAGATGAAGAGCTGATTATTTTTAAATTAAGGAAAAGTCATTACCTTTTCTTACCTCAGCAGAGTTTTTCATATGTTATTTTATTTATTATTATTATTTTTTTTTGAGGCAGAGTTTCACTCTTGTTGCCCAGGCTGTAGTGCAATGGCGCAATCTCGGCTCACTGCAACATGTGCCTCCCGGGTTCAGGCGATTCTCCTGCCTCAGCCTCCAGAGTAGCTGGGATTACAGGCACCCATGTTCTAAAATTACCTCCTTAATTTAAAAATATGGCAAGCTGTACTGAGATGATCTGAGTAACTCCCCCCACCATACATCAGGCTTTGATAATCTAGAAACCCAGGGGAAATAAATAACGTCAATATCTGCTAGAGTCTGAATGTTTGTGTCTTTCAAAATTCAGACGAGGAAGCCTAATCCCCAGTGTGATGGTATTTGGAAGTAGGGCCTTTGGGAGGTGATTAGACCATGAAGGTAGAGTCCTCACGAATGACATAATGTCCTTATGGTAGAGGAGACCTCAGAGAGCTTCTTCACCCCTTCCACCATGTGAAGACACAGTGAGAAGATGGCTGTCTATGAACCAGGAAGTGGACCCTCACTAGACACTGAATCTGCTGACACGTTGAACTTGGACGTCCCAGCCTCCAGGACTACGAGAAATACATTTCTGTTGTTTAAGCCACGCAGTCTGTGGTATCCTGTTTTAGCCTCTTAAACAAACTAAGACAATATGGCAGGTATTAACACAATTATTAGAAGATGACAGCCTTCTAAAATGTGATCTTGCTATCAAAATTTGTCTATTATGTGAAATATACAATACTTTGAAATGAAAAAAAATCTTTTACCGCAGAATAGCATTTCATTTGCCAGTAATAATTCCAATGGATGATAACTTTTCATACAATTCACTAACTTTCTTCATAGAAAATATATTTTATGTCAAAGGTTTTGGGAGAGTCTCAGGGTATGCCTAAAGTCCACACAGAATGTATTTAAAATATCACATGAGATATTTTCAGCAAGGAAAGGAATCATCTTTCAAAGCAATATAAATACATTCAACATGGAATATTCAAAAAATATAGTAAACCATATATGAATTTCTTCCTCAATTCTAATTGGGCTAACCATAACCTTACTCCTTTCACTGCTTTTTCTCCAGGTAGAATACTGTGTACATGGCAAAAAGCAAAATGCTAATTTAGGCATTTCCCCAGGTTTCCTATCTCATCACCTCTCATTACCCTTCAATGCCCTTCATGTGGATGTTTCTCGCTCACTGCTTCCCTCACTTCCTGAGCACATATGATATTGTGACAGTGGAAAAGATATAGCCCCTCTCAAGTAGTCCACAATGACAGAGGAAGATATAAACAAGTAATTGTAGTACAATGAAATAAGTACTTTGGTACAGATTTGGACAAAGTGCCATGAAATCATTAGAGAAACACTAACTTCTCCTGCAAGGGTCTTGAAAGATGTCGCCCAGGAAGTGATATTAGGAGAGCCACAGAAGGTAAGTAGGATAAGGAGGAATTCAGCAAGCACAGGGAGGGTACCAGAGATAGGGTGGGGGTAAGATCCTATAGGAAAAGGACTTAGGTGTGTGGTAAAGACACAGAGAAATAGAGGGTGATGTATTTAGGGAATGCTAACAATTTGGTTTGCAGGCATACCTCATTTTATCATGCTTCACTTTATTGCACGTTGCAGATATTATGGGTTTTTACAAATTGCAGATTTGTGGCAACCCTGTGTCGAACATCTATCAGTGAGATTTTTCCCACAGCATGTGCTCACTTCGTGTCTCTGTGTCAGCATTCGTAACTCTTTATTGTGATATTCGCTTTACCTAAATATTTGCTTTTTTGTGGTGGTCTGGAACCTGGAACTGAACTCTCGATATCTCTAAGGTATGCTGTACTTCCTAAAAGAATAAATTTTTGCATTGTGCTTTAAAATTGGTCTATTAGAACTACTTGTTTATTATGCCTAAAAAGAATCTGCAAAGAGAAAAAGGATAGAAAATGAAGACTCCAAAAAAAATCACATAACTTTTATTGCAATTGATTTTATTTTACCAAGACCAAAGAAGTCATAGTATAGTTAACTATAACAAGATTGGTGGCAATTCCTCTTCCTATAAAAAATACTTTTTAGAACCAGAAGTAATCAAACACAGTTTTCCATTGCAAATATTCTAAATGTAAATTACTATAACAAACCTTTATATCTCAACATTATAAATCAGTAGTCCTCAGAATAATTAGATTAAATATCTGAATATTCTAGAAAAGTATCAGCAGTCCATAATTCAAATTTATGATGGCAAGATCTAGAATGATTACAAATTTAAATGAAAATGTGAGGTATAGGCTGGGCGCAGTGGCTTACTCCTATAATCCCAGCACTTTGGGATGCCAAGGTGGGTGGATCGTTTGAGCTCAGGAATTTGAGATCAGCCTGGGGAATTTAGACAGACCTTGTCTCTACTAAAAATTTAAAAAAATTAAAAAAAAAAAACAGCCGGGCGTGGTGGTGCGCACCTGTAGTCCCAGCTACTTGGGGGGCTGAGATGGGAGAATCATTTGAGCCCAGGAGGATGAGGCTGCTGTGAGCCATGATTGTGCCACTACATTCCAGCCTGGGTGACAGCGACGCCCTGCCTCTATTTTTAAAAAATGGGATATGCAAATATTCTGATATGCCAAGCCTCCATTCATCTTTGAGGCTAAGAAGTGAAGCCTATTGCCTGGTTATCAGGAAAAAGACAGTGCAGTGGTTCAGTCTAAGCTCTGGAGTCTGATTGCCCAGGCCCAACACTTGCTAATCATGTGATCCTGGTGATATTACTTATTCTTGCTAAACCCCGTTTCATTCTGTATAAGATACATAACAGTACAATATCTGCCTAACAAGCCTGGCAATTAAATGATATAGGCTCATGAAACTCAACAGTGTTCTCCAAAAATGTGAATTGTGATTAATATTGTTATTACCAGTGCTAGGTGGCATGGAGAATGTACAGAAACAAAAAGCCCAGCTTTCCTCAATAGAGAGTGTACAGAGTTAGAAGCTATGGATGAAATGACATATAACAGCAGTATTTAAAACTAAGTGGGCTGGGCATGGTGGCTCACACCTGTAATCCCAGCACTTTGGGAGGCCAAGGCAGGAGGATTGCCTGATTGCCAAGGCAGGAGTTGGAGACTAGCCTGGGCAAAATAGAGAGATCCCATCTCTACAAAAAATTTAAAAATCAGTAGCTGTAGTCCCAGCTACTTGGGAGGCTGAGATGGGAGGATTGCTTGAGCCCAGGAGTTTGAGGCTGCAGTAAGCCATGATAGCACTACTGCTCTTCACTCTTGGCAACAAAGCAAGATACTGTCTAAAAAAAGGAAAAAAAAAGTAACCTTAAGCAAAGGAGAGTTAGCAAGGGAAACTGAGGTGAATGCAGCCGAAGGAATACCAGGAGGCAAAACAGAAAACCTGAGCGGGCAAAGAAAAGAAGAATGGGGCCAATGCATAGAATAAATAAATAATATGCAATTCTTATAATGTAATAGAGAACATAAAAAATTAAAGAAGCTACTCTATGCAGTGAAAAATTAGCATCTTTGCATCCTAGTGCACAAAGCATTAAAACTATCAGAACGATTTAATCTGTAAAACTTGAAGCTGCAAATGTGGATATCCAAGGGTACTTACCTAGTGTAATTGTTGAGAAGACTCAGAAGCTGCTGGGACCTGAAGTATCCCTAGAAATAATACATTCCTTTTATATGTTGAAAATAGTATTATCTGTTAGAAAAAAAGGATAGAAACTTTTTCCTGAAGTTGGTTACCATGATGTTCACATACAAAAACTAGACTGAAACATTCATTTGCACTCAAGGAAAAATGTTTCACAGGCATTGGTTGAAGTGATATTTTTCCTGATCTGTCACAAACCAGAAACTCCCAGTGTACTGAGATTGTTAATATGATGTAAATTAAGCACTTAATGGATTACGTTTCAGTGATAATCATGTAAAACCATTGATTTAGTCCAGGAATTGAGGGATAATTTGAAGCATTATGTTCCAGCAATCACATCAATAACGACCAAAGTCTGGGGGACAGTGGCATGTACATTTCTGTTAAAGACAGTGTCTAGGCCAGGTGCAGTGACTCACACCTGTAATCCCAGCACTTTGGGAGGCCGAGGTGGGAGGATCACCTGAGGTCAGGAGTTCCAGACCAGCCTGGCCAACATGACAAAACTCCATCTCTACTAATAATACAAAAAAATTAGCCAGGCATGCTGTCGCATACCTGTACTCACAGCTACTCAGGAAGCTGAGACACAAGGATCGCATGAACCCGGGCAGCAGAGGTTGCAATGAACCAAGATGGCACCACTGCACTCCAGCCTGGGCAATAGAGCAAGATTCCGTCTCAATTTAAAAAAAAAAAAAAAAAGACAGTGTCTAACTGAAGAACATTATGTCCTCTGCTTTTCCTACTCATCCAGCGGATTCACAGTTTTTGGTTTGAACACTGAAGAATAGAAATACTTCTATAGCACCAGAGTATCGGCAAATCCTCATCTTTTCTTTAGTAATGTGTCAAGCATTTGCAAGCTGGTGAAGTGGATTACGAGGCTGCAATCACACCACTGGAATCTAATGAATAACACTTTTCAAAATCTTAAGTTCTTTTTAAAAAAAACAGGTTTAGCGAGATATAACTTATATACTATATAATTCACCCATTTAAAGTGTACAATTCAATAGCTTTTATTATATTCATAAAGTTGTGCAACCACCACCACAACCAATTTTAGAACTTTTTTTTTTTTTTGAGACAGAATTTCGCTCTTGTTGCCCAGGCTGGAGTGCAATGGTGCAATCTTGGCTCACTGCAACCTCTGCCTCCCGGGTTCAAGCGATTCTCCTGCCTCAGCCTCCCAAGTAGCTGGGATTACAGGTGTGCACCACCACGCTCAGCTAATTTTTTGTATTTAGTAGAGACGGGGTTTCATCATGTTGGTCTCCAACTCCTGACCTCAGGTGATCCACCTGCCTCAGCCTCCCAAAGTGCTAGGCTTACAGGCATGAGTCACCATACCCGGCCAATTTTAGAACATTTTTATCACCCCAGAATAAACCTGTACACATTAGCCGTCACTCCCCATTTCCCCACAACCTCTCCCAGACCCTGGCAACCACCCATCTACTTTCTGCTGTGTGGATTTCCCTATTCTGTACGTTTTATAGAAATGGAGTCACAGAATATGTGGAACCTTCTTGGTTTTTTTTGTTTGTTTGTTTGTTTTTTCTTGAGATGGAGTCTCGCTCTGTTTCCCAGGCTGGAGTGCAGTGGTGGGATCTCAGCTAATGGCAACCTTCGCTTTCCAGGTTCAAGCGATTCTCCTTCCTCAGCTTCCTGAGTAGCTGGGACTACAAGCGTGTGCCACCACTCCCGGCTAATTTTTGTATTTTTAGTAGAGACGGGGTTTCACTGTGTTGGCCAGGCTGGTCTCGAACTCCTGACCTGAGGTGACCCAACCCGCCTCAGCCTCCCGAAGTGTTGTTTTAAGTGTAGGGGTAGGGAAACAATTGTCTGCTTTTCTATTATTGTAAGTTTCTTTTCTTATAATATTTAGAATCCTTTTGTCCCTAAATAGTATCTTTGTAATTCTTATCACAGGTGGAAACAGAAAAGAGGATGGTCCCAAGTTTTCCATGGTGTTTTCCACCTGGTGTCTTGGTACAAATGCTCTGTGCTGACACTGTTGGGGATGGGAGGGCATGTGAAATCCATCTGCTCTTGTCAGGCAGCCAATGCTAACTGTGGGGTCCCAGCAAACTAAGTCACCCATCAAAGTAATCTGGAGTACAGAAGTCAGAAATCTAAGGCTAAACTGAAAGTCCATGAGAAAGAGTTGGGAGTGAAACATTCGAGTAATTAGTTCAAACATCAAATAGAAGTAGACAATAGCAAGATTGAAGTCAGGGTATGGTGTCTAGTGTTTAAAGTTAGACAGAAATCAGATCAGAATATGAGTAGGTAAGAAACAAGCACTTAATGTAAATGACGTTAGTGAAAGGCCTTTAATATTAGAAACATCGGGCAGGACGTGGTGTCTCATGCTTGTAATCCCAGCACCATGGGAGACGGAGGTGGAGGCGGGTGGATCACTTGAGGTCAGGAGTTTGAGACCAGCTTGGCCAACATGGTGAAACCCCATCTCTACTAAAAATACACACCACAAAAAAATTAGCTAGGCATGGCGGCACATACCTGTAGTCCCAGTTACTTGGGCGGGGAGGCTGAGGCAGGAGAATCACTTGAATCCAGGAGGCGGAGGTTGCAGTGAGCCCAGATCAAGCCACTGCTCTCCAGCCTGGGCCACAGAGCAAGACTCCATCCCCCTCCCCGCTCCAAAAAAATTCAGAACATAGGTAGTGCATTGAAAGACACTGAATGACCAATTATTCTTTGCGCTGATTCTTTGCGTTCTTGGAGGATGGGTAGACATTGTTGATTGCCTTCAAAATAGCCATTTCCTCCTTTCCCTGCATCACTCCGACATCCCCTCCTCCATTCTGGCTAAGTATAGGACTGAAAATGCTGTGTATTCTATTTCCATTCCTTCTTCCAGTTTGTGCTAAGAGTGAGATCTAACTGTGGCCCATGTGACCTGGTGGGAGATTGCTGGGAGACTTATTAGATTGGGTTTTCTCCCTAGTTTAAAAAAAAAAAAAAAAGATCTTATATAATTAACCTTTGTTTTGTAAGACATTGTCTTTGTCTGATTCCTGAAGTGTAACAACTGTCTTGAAACCAGGAAGGGACAAGTCAAATGACAGCAAAATTAGAATATAGAATACACCCAAGTCCCTGATACCAATATGGCACTTCTGATTTAAACAACCATAGGATGCCTTATCTTCACTTTTAAAAATGTGAGTTTTAACTACTTTCAATAACGTTCAATAATGTACTCTGATCCTTTTTTTTTTTTTTTGAGATGAAGTTTCACTCTTGTTGCCTGGGCTGGAGTGCAATGGCATGATCTCGGCTCACTGCAACCTCCGCCTCCCAGGTTCAAGCGATTCTCCCGCCTCAGCCTCCTGAGTAGCTGGGATTACACTCAGATACTTTTTATAGGAAGCATCCTAAAATTATATGCTGAAACTAATATACTGCTTTCAGAAGATCGTTACTTATGAATCTTAATTACAATGGAAAGGACACAGTTGTACTTTTAGTGTGATGGAATTACCATCACAATTAACCATTGGAATTACCATCCAATTACCACTTGGGTTTCTGATCTGGAACATCCTTCTAATGAATGTTGCATTTGGTCAATATTCCAAGAGCTAAAGATAGTATTGTGTACTAAGAGATCTTAAGAGCTGAGGGCGACACGCAGTGTTACTTGGCAGTGAATGCTTCCTCAGAAACAGTGAAATCATGGAAACGTCAGGGGCGTTTGAACTAGAGCAACTCCATCTTGAATAGGGGCTGGGGAAAATAAGGCTGAGGCCTCCTGCGCTGCATTCCCAGAGGCATTCTTAGTCACAGGATGAGATAGGTCAGCACAAGATACAGGTCACAAAAGCCCTGCTGATAAAACAAGACACAGTAAAGAAGCCAGCCAAAACCCACCAAAGCCAAGACGGCAATAAAAGTGACCTCTGATCATCCTCATTGCTCATTATACACTAATTATAATGCATCAGCATGCTCAAAGACACTCCCACCAGTGCCATGACTATTTACAAATGTCATGGCAACGTCCAGAAGTTACCCTATATGGTCTAAAAGGAGGAGGAACTCTCAGTTCCAGGAATTGCCTGCCCTTTCCCGGAAAACTCATGAATAATCCAACCCTTGTTTAGCATAAGCATATCATCAATAAATAACTATAAGTATATTCACTCAAGCCGCCCATGCCACTGCTCTGCCTATGGAGAAGCGATTCTTTATTCCTTTACTTTCCTAGTAAACTTTCTTTCACTTTGCTCTGTGGACTCGCCCAGAATTCTTTCTTGCGTGAGGTTCAAAAACCACCCCTTGGGGTCTGAATCGGAACCCCTTTTGGATAACAGAAACATCAAGGCACAGTGCCCAAAATGGGCAGTATATGAAGGACCATATAAGTTCCTCGAGGTTGGGAGGGGGTGCAGGGAAGGAGGTTGATTTTCTTTGAGATATGGGTTATACACCTGGCTTCTATCTGTAGTGCTTTGGTTTGATTTATAGCTGAGCTCATTGACCAGGACCTTGTCTATATGACATCTCAATTTCCCTTAATCTATTTCAGTAAAGATTCAAAGGCAAGACTTGGCTGGAAACCAAAACACATCATTTTGATTAGGGTTTTGGGTTCAGCAAAGGCTACAAGCAGGGCCTGTAACTCCTTATGATCGACACATTGTGATATTGCCCAGAAGCAGTTTTGATGGCTCTTGAACCAGAACTCTGCTTTCCTTTTTAAATTAAAATGATACAGATGATACAGTTTTGCTGCCTGGTGGTCCTGCCCCTTTTGGAAAGTGATCAGGTCTTATACGGAGCAACTCTACTATACTCCTGTCTTCATCCCCTATCTCCACATTAAGGAAGATCAAGAATCAGAAAGGGTGTATACATTCCCTTCAAGCAATTACCTCTATCTTCAAGCAAGAGTCTGCTCAGCAAAAGCCTCTTCGGACCACCCCAGCTAACTGCAGGGTACCTCTACCTAAGCCCAGAACGAACTACTGGACTGTCAATGGTCCTGGCCACAACTTTGCTCCTGTAGGAAAGTGAGAAAATGGAAAGTCAGATCCTGAGGCCAGAGCTGCAAATAACACAGTGTGGGATGGATAAGTAGCCAAATTACCATAAGGCAAGTTGCTAAGTGCTGTGATAGATGATCAAAGAGAAGAAAGTAGGGAACCCCAGAGAAGATGGAGATGGGAGATAATTTTCAAGTCTACATTTAGGAAGGAATATTAGAGCTGATAGTAAATTCCACAGGAGGTTGCCCTGGGGTGTAGGGATAGGGAAGGCTTTTTAAGCAAGGGAAGCCAGGAGTACACATAAAATCAGGAATACCAGCATGTATGCATTGTACTTAGGACACAGTGAGTACCTTAGATAAAGACAGTATACTTTATACTCAAGTGTACTTTTATATTCAGGAATGGAAACAGAAAGATGGTGGTGGGGAATGCAGAAAGGTAAGATGGAAAGATAAATTGAAGATCTATTATGAAGGCTTTGACTGGCATACCCTGGAAAATGGCCTGGAAACTATTGAATGTTTCTAATCTGGTCAAATAATTAGGTCCCTCCCAGATCACATGCCTACAGAGGCTGGACACTTAATGTAAATTATGAAGAGGCCCCCAAGTGGAGATGGTGATGAATTATGCCCGTTTAAAAGGGTTTGTGCTACCCAGCTGCAGGGGATTTTTACCATTTGAAAAGACAAACCAATGTCCCCAGATCTTTAAATTGTTAAAAAGAAGTCAGGAAGCCAACTACACCAAACTCCCAATTTCTAAATGTTGACAGCTAATTTAAAACCAAAGTGAGTACATTCTGTTGGCCAAACAACACATTTCTATAAGCTGGATTTGTCTGGATCTGAAAGCTTCTGGATTTTCACTCAGCCCTAAACAATGCTGCAAAGTAGATAAATTATGTGTGTGTGTGTGTGTGAGAGAGAGAGAAAGAGAGACAGAGAGAGAAAGAGAGAGGGAGAGAGAGGGAGAGTCCATTTTTATGGTTTCATCACGTTGAATTTTTAAATGAGATTTGAAAACCCAACGTATTTAAAGGGTCAATTAATGGCAACACAGCTCAGGAGACAGGCTGCACATAATGGCTCTGTGGTTAGAAGTCTAGCCCTAGGACTGAAACCGATTTATTCAGTGACCTTGAATAAGGTCATTAACCATGAGTTGGCTTCAGCATCTGTCTCTAACACATCCAAGGTAGCAACTGCCAAGCTGCTAGGAGAAGAGCTCACTGAAGAGATTTAAACACTTAGCTCCCTCCCAAAAACGTGTTTTCAAGAACTCACAATCATCTCTGTCATTTGTTTCATTTAAACAGTTCTCATGAATTTTGCCAAGATTATCAGCACACTATAATAACGTCTGAAAACGACACTTATTAAACACTATCAGCTGAATGTAAGCTTTCACAGCATTGTAAAACAAACAAACAAAAAAACCCAATACTTGTTTTATAAATTATGACATACGTTTTCCAGGAAAAAATATCTCTATTTGTTTCCAGTCAATATATTTTTTTCAACCCCTTAGGCTCTTAAACTAACTCCCTTTTAAAAGCACAGTAGAAAAATAAAAATGTATTCAATATTTTCAGCCTCGTTCTTCATAAGCAAATAAATTGAGAGGAGAACTAATATTTACTTCTCTTCTTATCCACTCAGGTGGCTGCATTTGAGATTTTGAATATGAATTATCTATATATATATCCGATCCTGCAGTCAAAGCGATGAAGAACGCTCATTTGCATTATAATTTTTAGCAAGACATATTTAGTTAACTATAATGGACTTCTTTGTATTTTGATACCAAAGCATATTTAATATTCCCATGTTGTATTTGTCAAACCTAAATGTGTGCTGCACAGATATGCAAAATAATTATAATTTTAACCGTTTCAGTTCAACTAATATATTTCATATATTCCAAAATTACTACATAGCATATGCTACCATATTTCCTCTATTTATTTGTATACAATTCTTCTTCTCTCTTGATATGGTTTTTCAGTCTTTAGTAACGCCTTCAATCTCATCCAACTTATTACTGGCATTAAAAAATAATCCTTGTGCTTCTCATTTGCAAACTTTGTGATATTTCTTCAACATTATAAATTAATTGACTGCTCTTCTTAAACACCTTTAGCATTGGCAAGAAGCAGTGGCTCATGCCCGTAATGACAGCGCTTTGGGAGGTCAAGGCCAGGGGATCACTTGAGGCTAGGAGTTCAAGACCAGCCTGGGCAATAAGCAAGACACTTGTTTTTACAAAAACTCAAATCGTTAGCCAGGTGTGGTAGCATGTGCCTATAGTTCTACCTACTCAGGAGGCTGAGGCAGGAAGATTGCTTGAACCCAAGAGCTCAAGGCTGCAGTGAGCTGTGACATTGCACTCTAGCCTCGGTGACAGTGTCTCTTAGAAGAAAGAATACACAGCCTTGATCTTACAAAATCAATGTACACATTTCATTTTTGTGCATTGTAAGTATGGTGACATATTCCCCACTTCACTCCCACTGCTTCCCCCTACCCCTTCCTCTTTAGCGAGAGACCACCTGCTCCAACAATTTCACCCATGTTTTGCTACATTCTTATTTGCATTCTTTTCTTGGCATCTCCTGCGTCATATAGAGCTGATTCTATTGGCATCTGAGTGCATTTCTCACCCTCTACCCTCCTACATGCAGCTCGCCGGCTACTCTGTCCAAGCCCATCTTCTGACTGCGCTCTTTGTCTTCCTCACCCACTCCCAAACTCCATCCCTTGTTTTTTATTGACCTTTATGCTCGGAGCTGCCTCCCACGAACATTCATAAACCTCCTTACCACAGTCTCCCAAATCATTTCCCCAGAAGGCTTTCTAGTCTTGTAAGCGTTCCTATTTGTGTCGGCATGCTATACTCTTAGCTGTTTCTGCTCATGTACAGCAATTCTCTTTTCTTCCTTGAAAGATTTCATCTGAAACCTTATTATTTTCTGAATTCCTTTTTTGAACAGGAATAGTCAGGGAATTCACAGCAATATAGGTTAAATAAACACACCTAACATTTACTTTGAAGTAAATAAGGCCAACATGAGCGGGAGTCATACTCTTGCCTGATGGTCAAAGGGAACAGTGATAGCAGAACCAAAATTGTTCCTCGCATGTGGGAAATTACATCTTTGTTATGGTATTTTCATAAGCACTACTTGCCGGGTGCAGTGGCTCACGCCTGTAATTCCAACGCTTTGGGAGGCCAAGGCAGGAGGATTGCTTGAGCCCAGGAGTTTAAGATCAGCCTGGGCATCATAGTGAGACCCCTTCTCCACACACACACACACACACACACACACACACAAACACATTAAAAATTAGCTGGGCATGGTGGCACATGCCTGTAGTCCCAGCTACTTGAGAGGCCAAGGTGGAATGACTGCTGATCACTCCACTGAACTCCAGCCTGAGCCAGACTTTGTCTCAAAAATAAATAAATAAATAGTAACAGTAAGCGCTACTATCAGGAAATTTGAACTTTTTTATAAAAGTGCCAGGTCAACATTCTGAAAGTCTTTTTAAAACTGTGTTTAAGCATAACGCTTCCTGATTCTTAGACTCCTTCAGTTGTTTCGCTTTGTATGGTATATGAGACTTGAGGGTCCAGGCACGGTGGCTCACGCCTGTAATCCCAGCACTTTGGGAGGCCAAGGTGGGTGGATCGCCTGAGGTCAGGAGTTTGAGACCAGCCTGACCAACATGGTAAAGCCCCGTCTCTACTACAAATACAAAAATTAGCCGGGCGTGGTGGCCCGTGCCTGTAGTCCCAGCTACTCGGGAGGCTGAGGCAGGAGAATCACTCGAACCTGGTAGGCGGAGGTTGCAGTGAACAAAGATCGCGCCACTGCACTCCAGCCTGGGTGACAGAGCAAGATTCTGTCTCAAAAGAAAAAAAAAAGACTTGAAAGAAATTGTATGTCTTTAAATCTTTTTGAAAGCAGACACTATTATATATTTTTCAACTAGAGCAACTAGCAAACTAGCTTTTGGAGGACCTCTTTGTCATCCACTTGTTGCAGGCTTCTATACAGTTTCCAAAATCTGAAATTCTGTATCTGTCTTTGTTCATTGTGATCAGATATAAACTAAAGGCAAAAATAACAGCAATCAATAGTAATTATAAGCTTTGGACTCCTTGTAAATGAAGGTCAGAGGACAGACTGCCAAACTCCTCTTGGGAATGATGGCTCCCAGTCTGGGAAAAGACCGACACTAAATAAATTGTTCCCTGCCTTGCCCAAGGGCTCAAAAAGTGCCTTTTGTCCTGAACTGTAAAAGTAGTGAGGAGAAAATGTGGAGGTTTAAGCTCCTCATTCAGTCTCCTCCAACCATTCCATCAAGCGGGACATCCTCTCTCTCTAAACTTCTATTGCACTTAGATTTTTGGCCACTGAACTTTCTTGGGGTCAACCATATCGTCTTTTCTCTCTCTGTGTATTTGTTTTCCTGCTACCTTCTTATATAGAATTGCTGGAGGTAGGGGCCATAAGAATATATTAGCTTTTCTTGTCAGTTCACCATTAGTACAATGCAAATGGGAGATATATCAATTCATTTAAGGCATACCCACTATGCGCCAGGCACTGCGTGGGGTCCTAGAGATATAATAGTAAATAAGACACTGCCCTATCCTCAGAGGTATGAAATCTAGAGGAGAGAGACAGGCAAGCAAATAGGCAAACACTTTGAAATATGTGTAAAGGCCACCATAATACTTCCTTTTTGCCCTCTGAAGGTTCACTGAAAATCAGCTGACAAAAGTCGAATTAATAGGAGAGGCCAGGCGTGGTGGCTCATGCCTGTAATACCAGCCTGGACAACATGGCAAGACCCCATCTCTACAAAAAAAAAGTTACAAAATTTAGCTGGGCAGGCTGGGTGTGGCGGCTCACGCCTGTAATTCCAGCACTTTGGAGGCCAAGGCAGGTGGATCACGAGGTCAGGAGTTGGAGACCAGCCTGACCAACATGGCGAAACCCTGTCTTTACAAAATATACAAAAAGTAGCTGGGCATGGTGGCACGTGCCTGTAATCCCAGCTACTCAGGAGGCTAAGGCAGGAGAATTGCTTGAACCTGGGAAGCAGAGGTTGCAGTGTGCTGAGATCGTGCCACTGCACTCCAGCCTGGGTGACAGAGTGAGACTCAGTCTCAAAAAAAAAAAAAAAAATTTAGCTGGACATGGTGGTGCATGCCTGTGGTCCCAGCTACTCAAGTGGCTGAGGTGGGAGGATCACCCAGGCCCTGGAGGCCAAGGCTACAGTGAACTGTGATTGTGCCATTGCACTCCAGCCTGGGCAATAGAGTGAGACCCTGTCTCAAAAAAAAAAAAAAAAAAAAAAAAACAGAGAGAGAGAAATGGTATACAAATTTATTAGCATGCCACAAGAGGGAAATCCCCATTATGCAGTGGCGATAGATGCTTATTTACCCTTCTTCTTAGGTGAAAGGGAGATGGGGAAGTATGGATGATTTTAATGGGGTAGTAAGTGATTTTTTCGGAGAATTTAATGGGCTTGAATCACATACAATGGTCTGGAACATTGTCTGTGGGGCCCGCAGAGCAGACAATGGTTCGTGACGAAAATGTGTCCAGATGTGTTGACAGACTTCAGTCATTCTTCCAGCAATGAGTTCAGTGACGAAAACTCAGGGAAGGGACGAGAGGTCCAGACTTTAGGTGGATAAGGAGAACAACCTCATCCTTTGGGAGAGACAGAGGACTGAGAGACAGACCTGGGGCCAGAGGGGAACAGGGAAGATCAGATAGACTTTGAGACTTCTTCTTCAGTTCAACATGTCAAAGTGCTATATTTTGGGGTATTGGTTGGGTATTGGTTTCTGAGCCACAACATGTGATAAATGTGATCATTGAAGCCAAGGTTAGGGGCTCTGAGAGCATATTCGAGAAATTTGAAGGGTCCCGGATGAGCTCTTGGATGAAGTGACTTCTAACCTGCAATCTGAAGTTGGGTAGAACTTAGCACGGAATGCAAGGGTGGCGGAGGGGAGCAGAAAAGTTTTCCAGACAGCTTTAATGGCAACCCCAGAGACGAGAAGAAGTAGACAGCACATTAAAAACAAACAAACAAACAAAAAAACAGTAAATAAATCCGTCAGTATATTTGGAGTTTCTAATGGCGGTGTGGATTGGAGGTGGGGAAAGAGGAACTGTGCTATGCTGAAATGAACGTCTAAAGGTGAGCAGAGCCTTAGAGACAAAAGTTTTCATGAGAGACAGAATAAACAAACAGACAATGGCCAGACCCTGGATGACAACTGACCCACAACCTCTGAAGCAACCAGTCCAGGATGTCAACCAAACCACAACCTCTGTAGCATTGACTCAGAACATTCAGGGCTGTTGAATGGTCAATGACTGCCAGCTTCCCTCCCTATTCCCTCTCTCCTTGACCCCATCCAACTCAGGACCAACCAGAGAAAGCTAAACACAAGAGGACTTCAGAAAGTTCATGGAAAATTGAAATAAAAGATTTAAAAAATATATAAATTGTATTTCTCAATGTATGTTTCATCAAGTTTAAGACACATTTGTAAGTGATGATACCAACCATTTAGTCCATCCCTAAAGAACTAAGGGTCCTAGAAGTTTAACCGTATCAATGCAATCTTTGTTACATTATTAACTGAAGAAGAATGAATGCCCTTTAAATATGTTTTTAAAATTAGCAAACATAAAGAAGTCAGAGGGAGCCAAATCAGGACTGGAAGGTGGATGTCTAAAGATTTCCCATTGAAACTGTGGCAAAATTGCCCTTGTTTGATGAGAAGAAGTGAGCATTGGCATCGTCATGGTGGAGAAGGACTCTCTGGTGAAGCTTTCTTGGGAATTTTTCTGCTAAAGCTTTGGCTAACTTTCTCAAAACATGCTTATAATAAGCAGATGTTATCATTCTTTGGACCTCCATGAAGTCAATAAGCAAAATGCCTGGAGCATCCCAAAAAACTGTTGCCATGACCTTTGTGCTTGACTGGTTTTGCTTTTTTATTTATTTTATTTTTTAAGAAATTATATAACAGAGACAGGGTCTCATTACGTTGCCCAGGCTGGTCTTTAGCTCCTGGGCTCAAGCAATCTTCCCACCTTGGCCTTCCTAGTAGCTGGGACTATAGGCGTGAGCCACCACTCCCAGCCCCTGCTTTTGCTTTGACTGGGTCACTACCACTGCTGGATATCCATTGCTTTGATGGTGCCTTGTCTTCAGGATCATATCGGTAAAGCCGTGTTTCATCTCCTGTTACAATTCTTTGAGGAGATGCTTTAGGATCTTGATTTCACTTGTTTAACGTTTCAGTTGAAAGCTCTGTTCTTGTCTGCAGCTGATCTGGGCACAAAGGCTTCGGCAACGTTGAGTGAAAAGTTTGCTCAAATTTAATTTTCCGTCAGAATTGTGAAGCTGAACCAATTGAGATGTCCATGGTCTTGGCTATTTTTTTCTGATGTCAACCATCAGGGCATGAACAAGATAAATTCTTTCCTCACAAACTGATGTGGATGGTCTGCTGCTGTGGCCTTCAGCTCCGATGTTGTCTCCTCGCTTCTTCTTTTTTTTTTCTTTTTTTGAGACGGAGTCTCGCTCTGTCACCAGGCTGGAGTGCAGTGGCACCATCTCAGCTCGCTGCAACCTCCGCCTCCCGGGTTCAAGGGATTCTCCTGCCTCAGCCTCCCAAGTAGCTGGGACTACAGGCGCATGTCACCACACACAGTTAATTTTTGTATTTTTAGTAGAGACGGGGTTTCACCATGTTGGCCAGGCTGGTCTTGATCTTTTGACCCTGTGATCCACCCAGCTCAGCCTCCCAAAGCGCTGGGATTACAGGTGTGAGCCACCACGCCCGGCCGCCTCCTTGCTTCTTAAAATGAGTTATCCATTTGTAAACTGCTGATTTCTTTGGTGCATTGTCCCCGTAAACTTTTCATAAAGCATCAGTTTTTCCCACTCAACACTTTTCCCAGTTTTCCCACTCAACACTTAATGTTTGCTCTTGCTTCAATTTTAGCAGAATTCATGTGGCTCTGATAGAGGCTCTTTTCAAACTGATGCCTTATCCTTAGTGTGTCCAACCAGCCCCCGTTCAGACATGTTACAAAAAGTTACTATGAGTTTATTTTGGTGAAAGCAATTTTTGAAATCCATAGTTTTTTCATAGTACACATTTTCCATGAACTTTGAAGGACCCTGTATGCTCCTGAAACCAGGCACGTAAGATGCCCCATGTCATCAGCCTCCCCAGTTCCCCAGTCAGAGCACTCTGGAAGCCTTCTTTTTTTTTTTTTTTTTTTTTTTTTTTTTCCAGTATAAAGCTTTCCCACTCCTCTGCTTACCTTTGAGTCTCTGCCAGAGGGAAGTGATGGTGGCTGAGTCCCTTGTCAGGGCAGGCTCTGAATCAATACCTTCTGTTTGTTCTTATTTGGGTATTCTTTGTTTATTTCCACATACAATTGCCAACACTACCACCAATATTTATAATTGTCTCTTATTTGGCACACCAGAGGTGTTATACCCTGAAGGCAAGGCAACATATTAAGATTTAGGTTGGGTGAGAATGATGCTTTCTTTTCTAAAGAAAGAAAAGAGCAATTATGAAAGTGGGAGGGGAGGGGAGTAGGAAAGAAAAGGAGAATATTTTGACCTTGAAGCATATTCTCAGATTAATTTTAGAAAATAATATCTATGGAAGTTTAGGATCAAGAAAATAATTCCTGATGAACCTTCCCAGGAGCCCTTTTTGTTGTTGTTGTTTCTTTTGTTTTTTTTGGTTATTTTCTTGAGGCAGGGTCTTGCTCTCTTACCTAGGCTGGAGTACAGTGACACAAACACGACTCATTGCAGCCTTGACCTCCTGGGCTCAAGTGATCCTACTGCCTCAGCCTCCCATGTAGTTGGAACCACAGGTGCATGCCACCATGACCAGCTAATTTTTTTATTTTTTAAAAATTATAAATTTTGGTCTTGAACTCCTGGGCTCCTCAAATTCCTGGGCTCAAGTGCCTTGGCCTCCCAAAGTGCTAGGATTACAGACATGAGCCACCATGCTGGCCCACACTCTCTTTATAGCTACCTAGTCCATTATTACATATTCTCAGCATGGCGTTTTTCACTGTCTGATATTTCCCCTTCTCTTCCTCCCTCCTTCCCTCCTTATTTCTCTTTTGACCTCTTCTCAAGTAGAATGTCAACTCCATGAGACCTATGACAATTTTATCTGAAAACCTAGGGCAGTGCTTTGTCCATAGTTTGACACTGAATATATATTTGCTGAATAAGTAAATGAGAATAGAGAAAATGTCAAGAAGTTGAGGACATTCTCGTCTGATGGTTTGTAATTGCTCTGTGAAGTAGGAGGCCAAGTAGGAGACTAAAAGTAGAAATAGTGGAGTGGGCAAGTTGAAGAGGGTGGAATTTGGGGTGGTGAGAATGGAAGAAAGTGATGACAAAGAGAACACAGATTAATTGTTGGACAGCATTTAGGCCCTGCCACTCTAAAAATACAATGATTGCATGAAAGAATGAATGAATAAGGGCATGTCATTCTGCTGCTACTGTTCTGAAAAGCGCTTCTGAGAAATTGAGCTAAGCTTAATCACACAGTATGTGTGGTAGACAGAAAAATTACCTTCAAAGATATCCATATCCTAACCCCTAGAATCTGTGAACCTGTTGCCTCACATGACAAAAGGGACTTTTATAGAAATGTTTAAAATTTAAGGATTTTGAGGTGGGAAGTTTATCTTGGATAGTCCAGGTAGACTCGATATAATCAGAAGGGTCTTTATTAGAGAACAATGGAAAGGAAACTCAGAGTTAGAGGAGATCTGAAGATGGAAGCAGTGGGCAGAGTGAAGGAAGAAAGGTGATACAAGCAAGGAATGCAGGTGGCCTTTGGAATACACAAACGGTAAGGAAATCAGTTCTTCCCTAGAGCCCCAAGAAAGAACACAGTCTTGTTGACCCCTTGATTTTAGGTCTTCTGACCTCCAGAACTGTAAGGTAATACAGTTGTGTGGTGACTTACAGCAGCAATAAGAAATTAATATACCTTCAGTTCTATGCAGAACGTGCTTCTCAAACCATAATCTGAGACCTTCTTAAAATGTAGCCTCTGATTCAGTAGGTTTGATGTGGTGAGACCTGAGATTCTGCATATTTAACAAGCTCCCAGGTGAGGCCAGCCCTTTTGGGCTACAAACACTTGAAGTAGAATAAATCTAGAAGGCACCATCATGACAAATGAGAGAAATAGCTGTTATGGCCATACAGCATGTCTTTCATTTGTGTAGTTTTTCCAAACTTATAAATGAATATTGCATTTTATAAACACAGAAATGCTATAAAGCAGATACTAATATCTTTCCTATCACTGTCAAGAGAAAGGATATTCAGAAAGGGGTAAGGGAGGAGACCACACCTCATATTGTCTTATGCCCAATTTCTGCCTCCAAAGAAAGAAGAAGTAAAAACTAAAAGGGAGAAATGAAATCCACAGGCAGACAGCCCGGCAACGCGCCCTGGGCCTGGTAGTTAAAGATGGACCCCTGACCTAATCGGTTATGTTATCTATAGATTACAGACATTGTATGGAAAAGCACTGTGAAAATCCCTGTCCTGTTCTGTTCAGTTCTGATTACCGGTGCATGCAGCCCCCAGTCACGTACCCTCTGCTTGCTCAATCGATCACGACCCTGTCACGCAGACCCCCTTAGAGTTGTGAGCCCTTAAAAGGGACAGGAATTGCTCACTCGGGGAGCTCGGTTGTTGGAGACGTGAGTCTTGCTAAAGCTCCCGGCTGAATAAAGCCCTTAGTTCTTTAACTCAGTGTCTGAGGGGTTTTGTCTGTGGCTTGTCCTGCTACAGGGGAAGCCACTGGCCTGGGCTGCATACATGGTGCAGTCTATTTGGCTTTTGACAGAATCAGGCTTTTTTTTTTTTTTTTTGATGGAGTTTCGCTCTTGTTGCCCAGGCTGGAGTACAGTGGCCGGGTCTCGGCTCACTGCAACCTCTGCCTCCCGGGGTCAAGCGATTCTCCTGCCTCAGCCTCCCGAGTAGCTGGGATTACAGGCATGTGCCAACATGCCTGGCTAATTTTGTATTTTTAGTAGAGATGGGGTTTCACCATGTTGGTCAGGCTGGTCTTGAACTCCTGACCTCAGGTGATCCACCCACCTTAGCCTCCCACAGTGCTGGGATTACAGGCGTGAACCCCCGTGCCCGGCTGGAATCAGGCTTTGAGCTCAAGTTTTTTGTTTCCAAGTTCTTTTCACTAGGACAGTTAATGTGTGAAATGAAGAACTAGAAACAACCAAGTGTCAATGAACCCAGAAGCATCAGCGCTACTCAGGATGGGACATAAAGGACCAACAGCAACTACTGCAGAATTGAACTGACACAAGAACAGATGGGAAACAGAGATGAACCATTATTGGATTTTTCCATTTTGAGATTTGACCGAAATGGTAATCTTGTTTCAGATCATCTTGAAGATGCCTGTAGAGGGAGGCAATTTGCTTTGATCCAGCTACCTTAATAGTGAGTAAGTGTAAATTTGAAGCATTTTGTCACACTCTGCTATCTCACTTTTACCTGAAACTTCGTATTGTGTTTAGTCAGAATTTATTGAGCACCTACTTTGTGCCAAAGCACCATTCCAGACATTACAAAATCAAATATAGATAAGCGGTTGTCCCCGTACTCTCGGTTTTTACTGTATGGCAAAAAAGAAATAAATGTCCCCCAAAACCCCAAGCCATATATTGATGTATACAATTCTAGAAGAAATTGGAAAGATTAAATGTGTGGTTGATTAACTCTAGAAAAAGAGGACATAAAATATAAGGGGTTTTGTTTTATTTTGCCTCAGAGGCAATTTTGTGTATACCAAAAAGTCTACTGAGATTTTTTAAAATTAATGTTCAATCTACTAAAGTTACAAATTCAAAATCCTAGTTCTTCCCAAAGTTTTTAAGTGCGTAATATAATATTGTATTCTTATCTTATTGTCATTGTTCAATGTCACTTCCACAGAGCTTGTTATTGTTAAGTCTTGGCCTCATTTACAAATTTTATTTCTTTAAACCTTAAGCTGCATTTACAAATGTAGTATATTCCATTTCCTTCAAAAGTATTTTGACCTAATAAACAAAACCTCTCTGAGTGCTAGATAATTCTTATAAATGTAATACATTGAACTTATAATTACAGTGAAGTTCATATCCATGTTCCAACTCAGGAAGATTTAACTTAAAATCACAAGTCTAAATCAATTAATCCACCTCTCATTTTAGATTTATAGAAGATCTAGTGGGCCATCTTATGTTACACGTTAGAATAAATAAGAAAGGAATTCTTGCAAATTCCTTAACACAGATATATTAATAGTATGGCTTTGATTCTCCTACACATTTAGATTTGTCCTGAAACTGAAAAGATGCTTCAAGACAGTTCGACGTGTCAAGGCAGGTTCATTGATTCACCATTGTGGTACAGGATGTTGACAGCAAAGAAGGTTGGGGGACCAGGGGTTATATTGGGAACTCTCTGTATTTTGTATTCAGTATTGCTGTTAACCTAAAATGGCTTCAAAAAATTATCTATTAAATTAAAAGAAAGAGAGTGAGTATGAGCATGAAAGAGTTGCAAGAACCCAAAAAAGCAAGAAAAAAGTTACTGTCTCTGTTCATGGGAGAGTTGGTTGGGCTGCTACATTATCATCCATAACTCTCAACTTCATTTATAGTTGCATGTCAATGACTCCACAGCTTCAAGAGGTAGGCCAAGTCCCTGGATTTCAGTTACACTTATCACCTAACTCTGGAGTCTCTTAGAGATCCCTATAGTCTATCAAATTGGTCCTTTGATTAGATTTTGCAAGACTGGCTCTTAAGATAAATTAATGTTTACCTTTTAAATGTAAACATCTCTGAACCTTACTAAAACCCTTTGGTATTTTACATGTTTCATAGGCCCACACAAATTAGATATTGAAAGTGTGTTTCTTTGAATCCTGTGTGTTGGACAAGGTTTTCTCTGATTGGTAATTATACTTTACAAGATAATTTTAGTAACGGTGGCCTCCAACTCTAAAAGCATAGAGAAGAGAGGTAAACAAATAATTATATTATATGGTGAACTATTCAGTCATAGAAGATACTCACATAAGAAATGCCAATAGGGAATGAAGTGTCCAAAGAATATAGAAGAGTTTGGCACAGAATAGTGCCCTATGTGTTGTAGAGTACGCAGTAATCATTTATTGAGTGAATGAATGGATACACGAATAGTGAATAAAGTGCTCATAGAAGAATACTAGCTTGTTAGTACTAGAATGTAAAGTTACAAGGTAGGGTTATAGATTTTGACTTATAGTAAAATAAAACACATTCCACTTCTCCTAAAAATCCCCTGCGCTCCACCTGTTTATCTGCCACACCCCCGATTCCCAGAACCCCTGGCAACTACTGATCATTTTACTGTCTCTAAACTTTTGCAGAATTTTATGTGAATATCTGTTTTCAAATCAATTGGATAAATAAGATTCCTTGGATCATATGGTGAGACTACACTTAGCTTTGTAAGAGACTGCCAAACTGGCTTCCAAAACGGCTGTGCCACATTTGAATTCCCGCCTACGGTGGGTGACAGTTCCTGTTGCTTCGCATGCTTGTCAGTATTTGGGGTTGTCAGTGTTTTCGATTTTAGCCATTCTAATAGGTATGTAATGGTACCTCCTTGTTATTTTAATTTGTGATTTCCTGAAAACAAATGATAAGCATCTTTTTCACATGCTTATTTGCCATCCATGTATCTTCTTTGGTGAGGTATCCAGATTTTTTGGCCCATTTTTTAACTGGGCTATTTTCATATTGTTGCATTTTAAGAGTCCTTTGTATTTTTGGATACAACTCCTTTATCAGATATGAGTTTGGTAAATATTTTCTTGCTGTCTGTCACTTGTCTTTAGATTTTCCTAACAATGTTTTTACAGAGAAGTTTTTAATTTTAATGAAGTATAACATCAATTTTTTTCTTTCATGGAATGTAATTTTGCAGTTATACCTAAAAACTCACAGTCATAAATTTTTTGTGACTAAACCCAAGGTCATATAAGTTTTCTCCTATGTCTTCTATCTTTTTTTAAAAAAAATTATTTTAAAAATAGAGGTAAGGGCTTGTCATAACCCTTAGACAGGGTGGGTTTGAACTCCTGGTCTCAAGCAGTCCTCCTGCCTTAACTGGGATGAGAAGCATGTGCCACTGCGCCTGGAATATATATATATATATTTCTTTTCTTTTTTTTTTTTTTTTTTGACGGAGTTTTTGCTCTTGTCGCCCAGGCTGGAGTGCAGTGGTGCAATCTCGGCTCACTGCAAGCTCCGCCTCCCGGGTTCAAGCGATTCTCCTGCCTCAGCCTCCCGAGTAGCTGGGACTACAGGCGCCCGCCACCGTGCTCGGCTAATTTTTTGTATTTTTTAGTAGAGACGGGGTTTCACCGTGGTAGCCAGGATGGTCTCCATCTCCTGACCTCGTGATCCGCCCGCCTCGGCCTCCCAAAGTGCTGGAATTACAGGCTTGAGCCACCACGCCCGGCCATTTTATTTTTAAAAAGGTTCATGATTTTATGGTAGGGAACAAGTTTGCCCCACAGAGGCAAGATTTGTCCTTGGTTGGCCTGTCTCCTGGAAAGAGAATTGAGGTCTGGAACTCTAGGCCTCTTGTCCATTTACTACACCATCCAGAACATTTATGTAAGCATTTCCAGCAATTGTCCTGTCCATTCTGATTTGATTAGCAAAGGTCACATGTCCATTCTTAAAATAGTATTTCTGTGCTAAGTCATATATTCCACTCCAGATACTGGGCAGGGGTGGAGTCAGCTTCCCCAGAAGCACATTGATTTCCACATGGAAATTGGGCTGTGTTCTAAAATGCTGGGAAAGCAGTCACATATGTGCAATGCCAGCATGAAACCAAAGGGTTGGGGGTTAGATCATTAAGGGCTTTATGTCTAAACAGGTGATGGGGTGTTTTAGTTCATTCTTTCATTGCTACGAAGAAATACCTGAGACTGGGTAATTTATGAAGAAAATATGTTTAATTGGTGCAGGGCTGAACAGGAAGGACGGTGTTGGCACTTTCTCAGCTTCTGGGGAGGCCTCAGGAAATTTACAATCATGGCGGAAGACAAAGTAGGAGTGGGCACTTCACGTGGCTGGAGCAGGAGGAAGAGAGAGGGAGGCGGAGGTGCCAGATCTGGTCATTTAAAATGATCTGGTCAAAACAACAAACTCACTATTGTGAGGACAGTACCAAGGGGGTGGGAATAAACCATTCATGAGAAACCACCCCCGTGATCCAATCATCTCCCACCAGGCTCCACCTCCAACACTGGGGGTTACAATTCCACATGAGAGTTGGTGGGGACACAGATCCAAACCATATCAGAAAGTAATGGAGTCATCTTACAGAGGAGTAGTAAGGTGTTAGATCTGCATGTTAGAATTTTATTTTCTGTAGCCTGGAAGGGATTCAAGCTGTGCATGCCTTGAGGTAGATTAATGAGGGAGCTCTAGCAGTGGTCCTGGAGAGAGAAGCTGAGGGCTTTGAACTCAACTATGGCTGTGACAGTGGCAAGGAGAATGGGAAGGAGAGAGCAAATTCAAGACATGTTTAGGAATTAAAACAATGACAAAAAAAAAAAAAGACAAAAAAAGCTTTTCGAGCTGGGTATGGTGGTGCATGCCTGTAGTCCCAGCTACCTGGAAGGCTGCAGTGGGAGGATCACTTGAGCCCAGGAGTTTGAGTCTAGCCTGGGCAACATAAGGAGACCTTGTCTCTAAAAAAATTTGTTTTAAAATAAAAAGCGTTTTGAATGATTTTCTTGTTTCTCTAATTGATAATCCCACAAATTGGGGAATAAAGGATATTAGAACAGGAGGCTGGAGGTAGGATGGCCACAGTTGATAGATTATCTTGAACATGTTGGATTTGATATGTCTTTAAGTCAACCTATAGGAAATGTCAAGTAGGCAAGTGGATTTGGGGATGTATTATAGTTAGGCTGAGGGCAGAGATAGAATATCACCATTAAAACCAAAAACAGAATTTGAGTAGACTAAACCTCTTAGTAAAAGATTGGGCACTAATGGAACCACCCAGTGAGTTCTTCTTGCCTGCTGCCCAGATACAGCTGATGTATGAAGATAGAGGAATTGCAATAGAGAAAGAGTCTTACACATGAGATGGCTCAAGAGAGACTGGAATTTTATTATTATGCAAATCAGCTTCCCTCAAAATTCAGAGGCTAGGGCTTTTCAAGGATAGTTCAACAGGCAAGGGAATGTGTGCTACTCATTGGTTGGGGATACAATCACAGAGGTGCAAAAATGGTCCTCAGGCCTGCTGAATCTGCTTCTAGGTAGGGACACAGGACTGGTTGGTGGTATGGGTGGAGTCATTGGTCATCAGAAATGCAAAAACCTGAAGACATCTCAAAAGGCCAACCTTAGGTTCTGCAATAGTAGAATAATTGGGGAATCTACAAGTCTTGTGACCTCCAGGATAATGGCAAGAATCATTTCTGTCTACACTTTAGCAGAATTCAGGCTCCTCTCATCCTCCTAACCTGGTGGTCTTTCATTAGTTCTACAAAGGTAGTTTAGTTTTGGAGAAGGGCTATTATCATTTAAACTGTAAACTAAATTTCCCGAAAGTTAGCATGGACCAAGCCTGGGACTAATTAAAGACAGTTTGGAGATTAAACACAAGATGGGGATTGGTCAGATCTCTTTCATTGCCATAATTTTCTCACTGTTGTATTTTTTGCAAAGGTGATTTCACTTTAACGAAGCCTACCTATTATCTATTCTCTAGAAGTTCATTGTTAAGTAAGTAGTTGAGGTTCTGATTCCTTAGAGTGACTCAGTTTCAATTCAATCCTTGTCGTCATTTGAATATCTCAAATTGACAAACCACTTTGTGTATGATTTTATATAGATGTCTGATTAGCTGTTCTGCAAATTCACAATTGCAGTCAAGATTCTCTTGTCCAGCACAGGAAAACAAGACAAGCAGCACCTTTTCCAGTAGTCTCTCAATAAGACTTTTTCCTGTGTTTATAGATGTAAAATTTGCTAATGAGCAAGGCCTGAGAGCTAACATTGAAGTTGTTCTGAAGATAACCTATTCAGTGGATTAGAAATATATATTCATGGCCGGGTGCTCCTGTAATCCCAGCACTTTGGGAGGCCAAGGCAGGCGGATCACCTGAGGTCAGGACTGCGAGACCAGCCTGGGCAACATGGTGAAACGCCGTCTCTACTAAACACAGAAAAATTAGCCAGATGTGTTGGCACAGGCCTGTAATCCCAGCTACTCGGGGGGCTGAGACAGGACAATGGCTTGAACCCAGGAGGCAGAGGTTGCCGTGAGCCAAGATCAAGCCACTGCACTCCAGCCTGGGCAACAGAGTGAGACTCTGTCTCAAAAAAAAAAAAAGAAAGAAAGAAAGAATAAAGAAATATATACTCATTTTAGAATAGAATATTCATTTTTTAAAACACTGCGTTCATGTTCTAATGATGCTGTAACAAATTACCACATACTTAGTGGTTTCAAATAACACAACTGCATTATCACACAGATCTGGAGGTCAGAAGTCTTAAAATCCAAATGTCAGCAGGGCTGTGCTCCTTCTAGAGGCTCTTAGGGAAAATCTGCTTCCCTGCCTTTTCCAGCCTCCAGGGGCTTTATGCATTCCTTGGCTCACAGCTCTTTCCTCATATCACTCTGACCTCGGCTTTTGCCTCCCCGTTTTTCTTACTCCAACTCTCCTTCCTCCCTCTTTCACATTTAAAAGACCTTTGTGATTCCACTGGGCCTACCTGGATAATCCAGGACACTCTCCCCATCTCAAGATCAGCTAATTAGCAACCTTAATTTCATCTGCAACCTTCATTCCCCACTGCCATGTAACATGTTTATTTACAGGTTCTAGGGATTCTGACATAGACATCTTTAGGGGCCATCATTCCGCCTACAATTGTGGGCCGATGTCTTCCTTCTCTCCCGACCTCAGCAGGTTGGGTCTGGGTGGACACTTGAAATTGGTAGAACAGTCCACAGTTGGGATGAGTCAAACATGACTGAGTACTTGACTGTGAAGTTAGGTAGAACTCAGCCTTGCTCAGCTATCGCAGGCCACGTACATGCTGGTTAGTGAACAGAAGGAAACAGGAGGTTGCAGATACAGGGAGACAAGTAGCAGCAAGAGACAGACCAGAGATAGAGAAAGTAGTTCTGATGATTTTCTTTTTTTGAGACAGAGTCTCTGTCGCGCAGGCTAGAGTGCAGTGGCACGATCTCATCTCACTGCAGCCTCCAGCTCCCTGGTTCAAGGAATTCTTGTGGCTCAGCCTCCCAAGTAATTGGGATTACAGGTGCACATTATCACACCTGGCTAATTTTTGTATTTTTAGTAGAGATGAGATTTCACCATGTTGGCCAGGCTGGTCTCAGACTCCTGACCTCAAGTGATCTACCTGCCTCGGCCTCCCAAAATGCTGGGATTATAGGCGTTAATCCCAGCACTTTGAATTGGAAAATGGATTTTCTAAACTGAATTAGAAAATAGTAAAAACTGGGTTCGGATTTAGTTTCCCACTCCGCTATTTTCTTTCCAGTATATATTTCAGACCAGTAAAGAAGAGAGGTAAATAACCAATTAAGAAAAGTTTCCTTGCTGGATACTGAGATGTTTGATGGTTCCTGCCACTCCTACTGGCACTTAGTACATTTGTGGTCTATTATGCAGCTTAGCAATTTTGAAAAACATTTTTATTCTCTTTAGCTCATCCCTTCTTAAAAATAAATATTAAGGTTTTGGGGAGCTGAGGATACGAAATTCGTAATGTATACAACAGCTGACCAGTTCCTGTCAATAAAATATGACAATTAAATTCAGAAGCGAGGCCCTTTCCTTGCTTATCTTGTTTAGTGAGACAAGCTCATTCCTAAGCAGTCCCGGCCAATATGACTTTGAAATAGTCATCCCTGGAATCCATTTCGGGTTTCTTTTTGGACCCAAGAGCTGAGCTGAATTTGGACATCAGGCCAAGGCTGAACAGCAACAGGGTTCAGGCCATTTCTCATTAGGAAATTACTGCCTCTAAACCAGGCCCAAAGTGAGCACTATTGATTTTTTAAATACTTTTTTTATTAACAATTTTGGGGAGGTATAATTTACATATCATAACTTCACCTGTTCTAATTCAGTTGTTACTGGAAATGGGGTCTTGGAACTCATGCAAGAAATAATTTGGGGTGAGTCCACAGAGTAAACCGAAAGCAGATTTATTGAGAAAGTAAAGGAATAAAAGAATGGCTACTCCATAGGCAGAGCAGCCTCAAGGGCTGCTGGTTATCCATTTTTGTGATTATTTCTCAATCATATGCTAAACAAGTGGCAGATATTCATGAGTTTTCTGAGAAAGGGGATTTCCCAGAACTGAGGGTTCCTCTTCCTTTTAGACCACATAGGGTAGCTTCCAGACATTGCCGTGGCATTTGTAAATTGTCATGGTGCTGGCAGGAATGTCTCTTAGCATGCTAATGCATTATAATTAGTGTAAAACGAGCAGTGAGGATGACCAGAGACCACTGTTTTTTGGCATCTTGGTTTTGGTAGGTTTGGGCTGGCTTCTTTACTGCATCCTGTTTTATTAGTGGGCTTCGTGACCTGTGTCTTATGCTACATTTCTATCTAATCCTGTGACCAAGAATGCCTTCCCTCCTGTGAATGCAGCCCGGCAGGTCTCAGCCTCACTTTACCCAGCCCCTGTTAAAGATGGAGTCACTCTGGTTCTAACACCTCTGACATAACCATCACCACAATCTCATTTTAGAATATTTCCATTCCCGCCACATGAAAGTCATGCCCCATTCCTGCGCCCAGCCCTAGGCAACGTGAGTTTACTTTCTGTCTCTACAGATTTGCCTTTCCTGGTCATTTAATATAAATGAAATCATGTAAGATATGGTATTTTTTTCCTACTTCTTAACTTACCATAATGTCTTTGAGGTTTATTTATGTGGCAGCATGTATCAGTACTTTTTTTTAAATCAATAAAGAGTATTCTGTTGCATGGCTAGTCCACATTTTGCTTATCCATTCACTAAAACTATTGATTTTTTACCACTAGATCATGGTCAGAAAATGTAGTCTGAGGAACCTGCCAGATGTAGTCTGGTCAGGGGTATCAGGTGTCTTAATCTGTTTTGTGTTGCTATAAAGGAATACCTGAGGCTCAGTAATTTATTTATTTTTATTTTATTTATTTATTTATTTTGAGACGGACTTTCGCTCTTGTTGCCCAGGCTGGAGTGCAATGGCCCAATCTCGGCTCACCGCAACCTCCACCTCCCAGGTACAAGTGATTTTCCCGTCTCAGCCTCCCATGTAGCTCAGATTATAGGCATGTGCCATCACACCTGGCTAATTTTTTTTGTATTTAGTACAGACGGGGTTTCACCATATTAGTCAGGCTGGTCGAGAATTCCTGACCTCAAGTGATCCACTGGCCTTGGCCTCCCAAAGTGCTGGGATTACAGGCGTGCACCACTGCACCCAGCCAAGGCTTGGTAATTTATAAAGAGAAGGGGTTTATTTGGCTCACTGTTCTGTAGGCTATACAAAAAGCATGCTGCTGGCATCTGCTTCTGGTGAGGTCTATAGGCCTCTTCCATTCATGGTTAGAAGTCCTAGGCACACTGGCTTGGGCTCAATGTTTCCTAGCCCACATCTTGAAGGCTGTGGTGGATGAAATCAGCATGTAGAGGCAGGAAAACCCCGGATCAATCAGAAAAACACTTACTCCTTGGCACTCATATGAGGATGGCATAAGTAGAGGGTCTTGGTAGAAAAGATGACAGTTCAGTACACTTAGCAACAAAGCTTGAGAATGTCTAGCTTCTCACACCTGGCAAGCTTCCTCAGTCTTGATGAATTAACGATTCTGCCTTTCTGTCTTTCCAGGTGCTTTGGCTATAGAGGCCTTGAGATATTTCGGTTACATAACTGGCTCTTATTTCCGTTGTTTAACATTTATTGAGCATTTAATATGTGTGAGGTCATTTGCATACATTGTCTAATTAAATCCTTGCAATGATCTTATAAAGTAGCTGCCTGATATGGTTTGGCTGTGTTGCCACTCAAATATCATCTTAAATTCCCACATGTTGTTGGGGGGATCCAGTGGGAGGTAATTTAATCATGGAGGCAGGTTTTTCCCATACTGTTCTTGTGTGATAGTGAATAAGTCTCACAAGATCTGAGGGTTTCAGAGGGGAGTTTCCCGCACAAATTCTCTTCTCTTGTCTGATGCCATGTGAGATGTGCCTTTCACCTTCCACCATGATTGTGAGGCCTCCCCAGCCATGTGGAATGTAAGTCCATTAAACTTCTTTCTTTTGTAAATTGCCCAGTCTCAGGTATATCTTTATCAGCAGCATGAAAACAGATTAATACAGTAAATTGGTACCAGTAGAGTGGGGCACTGCCGAAAAGATACCTGAAAATGTGGAAGTGACTTTGGAACTGGGTGACAGGCAGAGTTTAAAACAGTTTGGAGGCCAGGCATGGTGGCTCATGCCTGTAATCCCAGCACTTTGGGAGGCTGAGGCAGGCAGATCACCTGAGATCAGGAGTTCGAGACCAGCCGGACCAACATGGAGAAACCCTGTCTCTACTAAAAATACAAAAATTAGCTGGGTGTGGTGGTGCATACCTGTAATCCCAGATACTCAGGAGGCTGTGGCAGAAGAATTGCTTGAACCCGGAAAGCAGAGATTGCGGTGAGCTGAGATCGCACCATTGCACTCCAGCCTGGGCAATAAGAGTGAAACTGTATCTCAAAAAGAAAAGAAAAAAAAAACAGTTTGGAGGGCTCAGAAGAAGACAGAAAAATGTGGGAAAGTTTGGAACTCCCTAGAAACTTGTTGAATGGCTTTGCTTAAAATGCTGATAATGATATGGACAATGAAATCAAGGCTGAGGTGGTCTCAGGTGGAGATGAGGAACTTGTTAGCAACCGCAGCAAAGGTGACTTTTACTCTGTTTTAGCAAAGAGACTGGTGGCATTTTGCCTTGCTCTAGAGATTTGTGGAACTTTGAACTTGAGAGAGATGGTTTAGGGTATCTGGCAGAAGAAATTTCTAAGCAGCAAAGCATTCAAGAGGCGACTTGGGTGCTGTTAAAGGCATTCAGTTTTAAAAGGAAAGCAGAGCATAAAAGTTTGGAAAATTTACAGCCTGACAATGAGGTAGAAAAGAAAATCCCATTTTCTGGGGAGAATTCAAGCAGGCTGCAGAAATTTGCATAAGTAACAAGAAGTCAAATGTTATCCCCAAGACAATGGTGAAAATGTTTCCAGGGTGTTTCAGAGGTCTTCATAGCAGCCCCTCCCATCACAGGCCTGGAGGCCTTGGAAAGGAAAAATGGTTTCATGGGTCAGGCCCCAGGTCCCCGTGCTGTGTGCAGCCTAGGGACTTGGTGCCCTGCTCCAGCCACGGCTGAAAGGGGCCAATGCAGAGGTCGAGCCATGGTTTCAGAGGGTGCAAGCCCCAAGCCTTGGCAGCTTCCACGTGGTGTTGAGCCTGCGAGTGCACCGAAGTCAAGAATTGGGGTTTGAGAACGTCTGCCTAGATTTCAGAGGATGTATGGAAATGCCTGGATGACCAGGCAGAAGTTTGCTGCAGGGGCGAGGCCCTCATGGAAAACCTCTGCTAGGGTAGTGTGGAAGGGAAATGTGGGGTCGGAGCCCCCACACAGAGTCCCTACTGGGGCACTGCCTAGTGGAGCTGTGAGAAGAGGGCCACTGTCCTCCAGACCCCAGCGTGGTAGATCCACTGACAGCTTGCACCATGTGCCTGGAAATGTCACAGACACTCAAAGCCAGCCCATGAAAGCAGCCAGGAGGGAGGCTGTACCCTGCAAAGCCACGGGGTGGAGCTGCCCAAGACCATGGGAACCCACCTCTTGCATCAGCATGACCCGGATGTGAGACATGCAGTCAAAGGAGATAATTTTGGAGCTTTAAGATTTGACTGCCCTGCTGGATTTTGGACTTACCTGGGGCCTGTAGCCCCTTTGTTTTGGCCAATTTCTCCCATTTGGAATGGCTGTATTTACCCAGTGCCTGTACCCCCATTGTATCTAGAAAGTAACTAACTTGCTCTTGATTTTATAAGCTCATAGGCAGAAGGGACTTGCTTTGTCTCAGATGAGACTTTGGACTGTGGACTTGTGAGTTAATGCTGAAATGAGTTAAGACCCTGGGGGACTATTGGGAAGGCATGATTGGTTTTGAAATGTGAGGATATGAGATTTGGGAGGGGCAAGGGGCAAAATTATATGGTTTGGCTGCGTTCCCCACCCAAATCTCATCTTAAATTCCCACATGTTGTGAGAGGAACCCGGTGGGAGGTAATTGAATCATGGGGTCAGATTTTTCCCCTGCTGTTCTTGTGACAGTGAATAAGTCTCACATGATCTGGTGGTTTTAAAAGGGGAGTTTCCCTGCACAAGTTCTCTTCTCTTGTCTGCCACCATGTGAGATGTGACTTTCACCTTCCAGCATGATTGTGAGGCCTCCCCAGCCACATAGAACTGTAAGTCCTTTAAACTTCTTTCTTTTGTAAATTGCCCAGTCTTGGGTATGTCTTTATCAGCAGCATGAAAATGGACTAATACACTGCCATTATACTTCTTTCACAGATGAGGAAATTGAACCTTGCAGAGATTAAGTGATTTGTTCAAAATCACTCAGGCAATAAATGGCAAAGTCAAGATTTGAACTCACTTTCTCTGAGGCCAATTCTCCCTACACTCTTCCAAGCTACTTTTAAAAAGTATCACTAAAAAAGGCAGATGGGAGCAGTGGCTCATGCTGCACTTTGTGAGGCTGAGGCAAGAGGATTGCTTGAGGCCATGAGTTCAAGACCAGCCTGGCCAACATATTGAGATACTCATCTCTACAAAAAGCAAAAAAATTAGCCAGGCGTGGTGGCCTGCACCTGTACTCCTAGCTACTAAGTAGGCTGAGGTGAGAGAGTCACTTGAGCCCAGGAGGTAGAAGCTGCAGTCAGCTGTGATCATGCCACTGCATTCCAGTCTGGGTGACAGAGTGAGACCCTGTCTCAAAAAAAAGGTAGGTGGGGGGGATTTAATTTATTATGGTAGAATGATGAGAGAAGAAGTAGCAAATGGTTTAAATAGACATTTTTATAGTGATTTTGGGGGACAGAAAAAGAATGGAAGCTGGATACCTATCAGAAACATGGTGGCAGGGGAAGTGTGAAGAGAACAAGAGCCCCACCTGTTCAGTGTGAAGATGCTCCCAAGGTGATCCATTAACCTCTGTTTCCGCATTCCACACCACTGCTTGGCTCACACCCTAGCTACATAAATAATTGCAAGAATCAAATAGTTCTTAAAAGATATTATATAATGCTCCATTCTGTTATATTGAAAATTGGTGATAAATGGAAGTATAAAAATATTAACAGACTTCCCAGGATTGTAGATGGTGTGAAAGTAGGATGATAGATTCTAATGCATAAAACTATGTTACCATTTGCCCTTATCAATAAACTACATGGCTTCCTATTTTTTTGTTTGTTTGGTGTTTTGCTTTGTTGTTGTTTTTGAGACAGGATTTCACCCTGTTGCCTAGGCTGGAGTGCAGTGGCTTGATCCCAGCTTACTACAACCTTGACCTCCCAGGCTCAAGTGATCCTCCTGCCTCAGCCTCCTGAGTAGCTGGGACCACAGGCTTTTGCCACCCATTCCCCAACCCCCTCCCACCCCCCTCCCCTCACCTCCACCCCCCAGTAGAGACTCGGTCTCACCATGTTACCCAGGTTGGTCTCAACTCCTGGGCTCAAGCCATCCTCCTGCTTACAGTTGTGACTGTATGTTACCATACCCTCAGGATCTCTTAAGTGAGTTGTGAAAAATATTCAGGATTACCTATAGAAGGCCACTGAAATTGACTCAACCCATAATAACCTTTTCCAGTGGCAAGAAGTTGCAAGAGGAGTTCTAAAGACAAAATCAATAAGAAATTAAGGTTGAGGAAGGCTATCCTTGGCCTTAGAGAAGTGCTCTGCAACAGAAATGCTATATAATATGAACCTCATGCATAATTCAAGATTTTCTAGTAGCCATATTTAAAAAGGGACAAAGAAACGAATATAATTAAGTTTAATACTATATTTAACCCAAAATATGCAAAGTATTTTTATTTGAAAAATCGATAAAAATTATTGAGATACATTACATGCTTTTGTCCTAAGTGTTTGAGATTGGTATATATTTTACACTAACAGCAACATTTCCATTCAGATTGGCCCTTTTTTTTTTTTTTTTTTTTTTTGAGAGAAGTCTCACTCTTATCCCCCAGGTTTGAGTGCAATTGCTTGATATCGGCTCACTACAACCAACCTCTGCCTCCTGGGTTCAAATGATTCTCCTGCCTCTGCCTCCCAAGTAGCGGGGATTAAGTCACCTGCCAACACGCCCGGCTAATTTTTGTATATTTTAGTAGAGACGGGGTTTCACCGTGTTGGCCAGGCTGGTCTCGAACTCCTGACCTCAGGTGATCTGCCTGCCTCGGGCTCCCAAAGTGCTGGGATTACAGGCGTGAGCCACCGAGCCCGGCCGGATTGGCCCTATTTCTTTAACGCTTTAGTGCTCATCTAAAGCTCATCTATTGCTTGATGACCACATACGGCTAACGACTACTGCTTTGGACCCTGGAACTTTAGCCTTAGATTTTTCAAAGCTTCTTGAGCAACACTTAGAACCTGCAATGACTGATCCCAACTATGTTATTGAGTTCTAAAACAGTATTATGTGTTTTGATGCACTTAAAATGAAAGTTATATGTAAATACATACAAAAGCACCATAGGTTTTCACATGCAGGCACAAAATTTCTTATTTAACAATACACTGTGGAAAAAAATTTCCAAAACTTTTTTCAGTTATTCAGTTTAATAGAGATTTAGCAGAACTAAGTCTTTGCTTTTGACAGAGCTTGCCACCACTAAAATAAAGAATTTACGTTCCAACAGGGCAGGGCATGGTGGCTCACACCTGTAATCCCAGCACTTTGGGAGGCTGAGGTGGGCAGATCACTTGAGCTCAGGAGTTTGAGGCCAGACTGGGCAACGTAATAAAACCCTGTCTGTACCAAAATATAAAAAATTAGTCAGGTGTGGTGGTGCATAACTGTGGTCCCAGCTACTCAAAGGCAGAGGTTGCAGCAAGCTGAGATTGCACCACTGCACTCCAGCCTGGGTAACAGAGTTAGACTCCCACCTCAAAAAAATAAAATAAATAAAAGAAAAAGAAAAAAGAAAAATTTACACAACAGAAAGGACCATGGGAAGGGAAGGAGAAAAGCTGATTGTTGTATTGTTACCAGAAAGGGGTCCTGATCCAGCCCCCAAAAGTGGGTTCTCGGGCAAGAAAGAATTTGGTGCTAGTCCATGGAGTAAAGTGAAAGCAAGTTTGTAAAGAAAGTAAAGGAATAAAGAAAGGCTACCCCATAGGCAAAGCACTACCGAGGGCTGCAGGTTGCACATTTTTATGGTTATTTCCTGATTATATGCTAAACAAGAGGGGGAATTATTCATATCTTCCCTTTGTAGACCATAGGACAACTTCCTGACGTTGCCATGGCGCTGGTGGGAGTTTGGAGTGAGGATGCCCAGAGGTCACTCTTGTCGCCATCTTGGGTTTGGTGGGATTTGGCCAGCTTCTTTACTGCAACTTGTTTTAGCATCAAGATCTTTATGACCTGTATCTTGTGCCAGCCTATCTCATCCTGTGACTTAGAATGCCTAACTGGCTGGGAATGCAGCCCAGTAGGTCTCAGTCTTATTTTACCCAGCCCCCACTCAAGATGGAGTTGCTGTGGTTCAAATGCCTCTGACGGTATAAATATGTACAGAAGAGAGGCAAGCATATTCTGGTGAGCATTCTGGGCTCAGTAATCTTTTTTTCTGCCTTAACTAGTAAAATAAAGGCTCCCCACAAAAAGCTGGCCAAATACATGGATTTTTCAGTAAGCTGAGAATAACACCAATAACAACTGGCCTACACATTTTTCCTAATAGACATTAGTTTGTCCATGCATATTTTAATGCATGATGAAGACGCTCTTAATATTGATTTAAATCACACTGCTCCCTAAAATCTTCTGGTTTTTAGAGATGGAGTTTCGCTCTTTCACCCAGGCTGGAGTGAAGTGGCACGATCTCGGCTCACTGAAACCTCAGACAGCGAGAGAAAGAGTGTGTATATATATATATATATATATATATATATATATATATATATATATAATATATATATATATAAAGTATATATATATATAAAATATATATATATAAAGTATATATATATAAAATATATACATATAAAGTATATATATATAAAATATATACATATAAAGTATATATATATAAAGTATATACATATAAAGTATATATATATAAAGTATATACATATAAAGTATATATATATAAAGTATATATATATAAAGTATATATATATAAAGTATATATATATAAAGTATATATATATAAAGTATATATATATAAAGTATATATATAAAGCATATATATAAAGTATATATATAAAAGTATATACATATAAAAGTATATATACACACACACACACACACACACACACACACACTTTGAATTCTAAGCATCAGCACTTTCTCTTAGAATGTAAGAGCCAATGCAGTTATCACCATATGGAAAAAGGCCAGAAAAAGGTGAAGTAGAAAATACAAATGTTTCAGTTAGGGGCAATGGCTTGCTTGCTCACTATAAAACAAATGCCTTCATCCTTTGCACTTCTGCACAGGCATTAGGGGAAACTTGTTCTGATCAGAAAGGGAGTTTTAAACTCACATCTCTCACTGCAGATCTTTCCAGGGAACTGCCCTCAGATAATGTAGACTTCACTAGGAAATGGCTGGTTGTTGGGTTTTTGTGCAATGCAAAGCGGTACCTTCAAAGAGGAGCTTTGCATCAGCTTCATTTTCCTCAGAAGAGCAGGAGAAGGCTAGTGGGAAATTTGATTTCACACATCTTTATTGGAGCTTCATTTGTATAAAGGTGATCACTAGGAAGGGAATTTTTTTTTTTTGAGAGGGAGTCTCGTTCTGTCGTCTAGGCTGGAGTGCAATGGCGTGATCTCGGCTCACTGCAACCTCCACCTCTTGGGTTCAAGCAATTCTCCTGCCTCAGCCTCCCAAGCAGCTGGGATTACAGGCGCCCACCACTACTCCAGGCTGATTTTTGTACTTTTAGTAAAGACAGGGTTTCGCCATGGCTGGTCTCGAACTCAGCCTCCCAAAGTGTTGGTTTTACAGGCGTGAGCCACCCATGCCCGGCCAGACAATTTTACCATCCATAACATAGCTAGTGTTTCTCGTAGTGGTATAGAAACATCTGTCTGCCATGCTGGCTGGCTCACACCTATAATCCCAGCGCTTTGGGCAGCTGTGGCGGGCAGATGTCAAGAGTTTGAGACCAGCCTGGCCAACATGGCAAAACCCGGTCTCTACTAAAAATAGAAAAATTAGCTAGGTGTGGAGGTGTGCGCCTGTAATCCCAGCTACTCATGAGGCTGAGGCAGGAGAATCGCTAAAACCCAGGAGGCAGAGGTTGCAGGGAGCCAATATCGTGCCACTGCACTCCAGCCTGGGAGACAGAGCCAGACTCCGTCTCAAAACAAACAAACAAACAAACAAACAAAATCTGTCACCAGAGTCTAAGGGAAAGGTGATTGTATTACTTGCTTACTGGGATTAATTTATCAGTACCTATGACAACACTTTAAATCTTTCACTCAGAGATTAGGAGGGGAGGATAAGAAAACTAATTTGGAAGTCTGCCTCTCCTTGCTCAGACAACACATGAAAGGTTGCTGCAACTCTTTAGTGCTTTAGTGCTCATCTAGTCTTTCAGGCACTTCCTAGCCAAGGAAACATCTTCTAGCTGTTTCTTCCTCTGCTCCACTAAAGCTCCTGGGACTTCATTTATGGCAGATAAAAAACAATTAAATATAAGATTTTTAAATGACAATAAAAATAAAAAGAGCAATTGAGCAATTGGGTTGTCTTTTTTACAATTTAAAATTTCCTGTCTTTAGACATCCTAGAGTTGTTGATTCCGGGATTCCTGGGGAGAAAGGCTCAGGGTCGGCTAACTTGCCTTCATCGAGGCAATAGTTTTATGGGCCTCAGGCAACAATGGCTTAGAGAGCGTCCAACTAATCAATCTCAGCTGTAGGGATGGAAGTGGGTGGGTGGGTACAGCTCAAGCCCTTGGTACAAAGCAGCCCGCTAGTCTCTAAGATATGTTATCTTAACTCCCACAAAGTGCCAACTCCCTTCAATATTTAAAGAACCTGAGGCCAAGCACAGTGGCTCACACCTGTAATCTCAGCACTTTGGGAGGCCGAGGCAGGTGGATCACCCGAGGTCAGGAGTTCGAGACCAGCCTAGCCAAAATGATGAAATACCATCTCTACTAAAAATAAATACAAAAGCTAGCCAAGTGTGATGGAGGGGGTGCCTATAATCCCAGCTATTCAGGAGGCTGAGGCAGGAGAATCACTTGAACCCAGCGGGCAGAGCTTGCAGTGAGCCGAGATCATGCCACTTCACTCCAGCCTCGGTGACAGAGTGAAACTCCGTCTCCAAAACAAAACAAAACAAAATAACTTGAAAGAGGGCTTAGAGGCCGGGCACGGTGGCTCACGCCTGGGTGGCTCCTAGCACTTTGGGAGGCCAAGGTGGGAGGATCACGAGGTCAGGAGTTCGAGACCAGTGTGGCCAATATAGTGAAACCCTGTCTCTACTAAAAATACAAAAAAAAAAAATCAGCCAGGCGTGGTGGTGTGTGCCTGTAATCCCAGCTACACGGGAGGCTGAGGCAGGAGAATTGCATGAACCCGGGAGGCAGAGGTTGCAGTGAGCCAAGATGGCGCCACTGCACTCCAGTCTGGGTGACAGAACGAGACTCCGTCTCAAAAAAAAAAAAATAGAAAGAGGGCTTCAAAAGCATTGCTTGAAGCCTGACCTATTTGTTTTACTCCTGATTTTGTTCGTGATTCATTGAGAATATTTGAGTTCTAAGCGCTTTGCCAGCAGGTGATGGTGGTGATAAAGCACACTTGCTTCCCGCCCTCAGGGAACTTGCATTGTAATGGGTAAGAGCCAAGACAGACAATGAACAAGTCAATAATCAAACATATAATTACAATTGTGATCAAGAATTTGAAGGTTAAGACAGATGCTCTAAGACAGGGAAATAACCTACTTTAAAGGAGGCCTCTTGGAGAAGCTGAAATTCATGATAAAAATGGAGGTGAAAGGCAGGGCGCGGTGGCTCACGCCTGTAATCCCAGCACTTTGGGAGGCCGAGGTAGGCGGCTCACGAGGTCAGGAGGAGGTCAGGAGTTTGAGACCAGGCTGACCAACGTGGTAAAATCCCATCTCTACTAAAAATACAAAAATTAGCCGGGCGTGGTGGCGGGTGCCTGTAATCCCAGCTACTCGGGAGGCTGGGGCAGGAGAATCGCTTGAATCTGGGAGGCAGAGGTTGCAGTGAGCCAAGATCACGCCACTGCACTCCAGCCTGGGCGACAGGGTGAGACTCCATCTCAAAAAATAAAAATAAAAATAAATGAAAAGGAGGTGAGAAGGATTAAGGCAAGCAAAATAGATAAGAAAAATATTTGGGCACAGAAAAAAGTGAGAATCAAAGCCGGGCACAGTGGCAGAAATGGTATGTCTTCACTTAGAAAGGGTATATATGTCTAGAAATTCAATACCAGAATTCTTTAGCTTCATAGGAATTTCTCTGTGACATAAGAACAAAATAAATATTTTTATGTCTTCTTTTGTTTCTCGGTTGCCAATTATCCATAAACGTTTTGGCTAATACGCGTTGAATGCGAAAGTATGCCTATATAATGAAGAGGGAATTTTTCAGAGGAAGCTAGTGAGTTTTCCAGAGGTTAGGAGACAATGGCTTTTATGTTTCATTTGTAGCAGGGAGGAACTTAAGTGACCTAGAATTTTTTACCTTTAAATTTTTTCCAGTGTAGAAACAAACTTGTAGTGCATTCTGTATTGCTTGGGGAGAGGAATATTTCACTTTTTCTCTGTTGTATAAACACTTTAAGTTCTGCATTGGTGATAAAATGAATAATGGTGGTACAAATGGAAAGCTATATAACTAATTGTTTGTCATACACATAATCATCACTGCAAAATGAGCTCTGGGAATTCCATTCTAGTGACCAGGAAATCTCTGGTATGAGCAAGGACTTTTTATAATGTTACCAAGTATGTTGGGAATTGAAATATTTATATAGATTGTGTAGTTTTTAGAACTTAGAGTGCGTTAGAGAAGAGTTAATTCTCTATTTAAGATATTTGGTACTGTAGATAGACTATTTAAAATCTGATTTGTTCCATTAGGTTCTCCCTTTAAGTTCCTGATTTAATTCAGTTAACTGGTTCTCCCTTTAAGTTCCTGATTTAATTCAGTTAACTGGTTCTCCCTTTAAGTTCCTGATTTAATTCAGTTAACTGAGAAATGTAATTTTAATTTCTTATTTATTTCACTCCTTCAGTAAACATTTATTGACTGTCAGCTGTGAGAGTCTTCATGCTAAAGCAAGTGTCTGCACCACGGGATTACTGATATTATGGGCTGAATCATTCTTGCTTATGGGGCGCGGTGGTCGGGGGAGGCTGTTGAGCAGCATCCTTGATGCCAGTAACATTATCCCCCTACCCCACTGTGACAACCAAAAATGTCTCCAGACAGTGTCATATGTTCCCTGGGGAGCAAAATCATCACCCCAGTCCAGAAGCATTGGTGATAATGGGAAGGAGCAGATGAGAGTTGGAGGTGGGGGTGGGAAGGAGGCAAGAGAAGTGGCACTTGGGGTGGGACACATGAATGCATTTAAGAGACATTACGAAAAAAGAATAGAGAAGTCTTCGTGACTGGTAAATTATAGGGACTGGGGAAGAGGAAGGAGTAAGCAACAACACTGGTTTGGGAAACTGGAGGGATTGTAGCGCTCTTACTCAAAGAAAAAACAAAAGAAGAACAGATATGAAAGAAAATATGAGTTCAGTTGCAGAGACATTGGATTTGACTGGAGGCATGGTGTTCTCTAGGAAGTAGGTTCAGGAGTCGAGTGTGTTGGAGTGAAGTCAGGACTGAGAGGTGGATTTTGGAGGGCAAAAGATTAGTAATTGACACTAGGGCAAAAAAGTGTCATTCACCTGCTAGAGAAATGGATGAGTTGGATAATTAAGATGCAAACTAATTGTTCTATTAGAGATTCTAAAGCATTCCACCAAGGTTAAGCAGAAATAAAAACTAACAAAACAGAGCAAAACACCAAGTATCAGAAACATTTCAGTGTATCTTATAGTCAATTAAGAGGGTAAATGAGGAGGAAGAGAGCTGGAAGAAGAGAGAAAAGGAAATGAAATGGAATTCTGACAGACAGGTAATCGTGAAGGAGAGGAAGATTCATTTAGTATCTTTTTTATTTTTATTTCTTTGAGACAGAATCTCACTCTGTCACCCAGGTTGGAGTACAGTGGTGCGATCTCCGCTCACTGCAAGCTCTGCTTCCCAGGTTCAAGCGATTCTCCTGCCTCAGCCTCCCTAGTAGCTGGGACTACAGGTGCCCGCCACCACGCGAGGCTAATTTTTTGTACTTTTAGTAGAGACGGGGTTTCACCGTGTTAGCCAGGATGGTCTCGATCTCCTGACCTTGTGATCTGCCCGCTTCGGCCTCCCAAAGTGCTGGGATTACAGGTGTGAGCCACCACGCCTGGCCATTTAGTATTTATTAATTGCTATCAACCATTACATAATTTAATTTCAAAAAATCTGGGAAATGCATGTATTCTTTTTTTTTTTTTTGAGATGGAGTCTTGCTCTGTCGCCCAGGCTGGAGTGCAGTGGCATGATCTTGGCTCACTGGAAAGCTCTGCCTCCATGGTTCATGCCATTCTCCTGCCGCAGCCTCCGGAGAAGCTGGGACTACAGGCGCCCGCCACCACGCCCGGCTAGTTTTTTTTTTGTATTTTTAGTAGAGACGGGGTTTCACCGTGTTAGCCAGGATGGTCTCGATCTCCTGACCTTGTGATCCGCCCGCCTCGGCCTCCCAAAGTGCTGGGATTACAGGCGTGAGCCACCGTGCCCAGCCACGCATCTATTCTTGTAACCCACTTTCTTCTTCAACATTTGAGCATGAAAAGTTTCAAACAGTCCAGGTGTAGTAGCTTATGCCTATAATCCTAGCAATTTGGGAGGCAAAGGCAGGAGGATCTCCCGAGCCCAGGAGTTTAAGCCCAGCCTGGGCAACAAAGGGAAACCTCATCTCCACAAAACAAATTGAAAAATTGGCTGGGTATGGTGGTAAATGCCTGTAGTCCTGGCTATTCAGGAGGCTGAGGTGGGAGGATCACTTGAGCCCAGGAGCTCTAGGCTGCATGAGCTGTGATCATATTACAGCAGTCTGTGACAGAATGAGACCGTCTCAAAAAAAAGAGAAAGTTTCAAACATACAGTAAAGTTGAAGGCAGCTCCCAGTGAACACCCATATATCTACCATGTAAATTATATAATTAACATTTTATTATATTTGTTTTATCACATATCTGTCCATGCATCTGTTAAAGTATCTTATTTTTTGATGCAGTTTAGAATAAGTTGCCAAAATCAGTACACTTAAGCCAACTACATCAGCATACATATTCTCAGCTAGAGTTCAATATTTGTTTAGAGTTTTCTAACCTACTTTTACTAATTGAATTTTTAAAGCCCATATCCAATTTCCTTTGTGGGAAAATGGGTGGTACTTTATTTTATAAAAATAGTTTTTGTGACCATTTTGGAATGCTAACACTGAAGACTTTTATTGATAATTACACTAGAATTACTCTAGATACATCAATATAGAGGCTGGTCACTTTTGCTGTTTCTCGTCTGTGTCTTGCTACCAGGATGTGGCCAGGCGTGAGGTAATATCTCTAATTATCTGTTAAATCTAGTTTTGCAACCACAGATATGATATTCTTACCTGATCAAATGGAATTAAGGTTAGGCCATGTTTCAGGCATCCTTAGGAATACTAAATAGCTATTAAATAACAAGAACCCTTTGGCAAAGCTTTGTAGTTTGCCTTTATGATATCCTTACCGGTCCCCCAAGAGTAAACTATGCAGTGTTTTATGTTATAAAAAAATTGTGGTCTAAATTTGCAGGTTCCAGTATTCTTTCTGCTGCTATGTGATCTTGGACAAATCTCTTAGCCTCTCTGAGCCTGAGCTCATGCTTCAATTATCCTTGAGTTAAGAGCACCTATGTGTATTTGATACCCACACTTGTGAATTTCAAATGAGCCTTTGCATGCAATAGAGATTTGTCAGCTGTGACCTGCTGCACAACTGTCACTGTGAAAAAAAATCATCAATTCTTTCCCTCCCTCCTTCTTTCCCTTCTTTTGTCTTCTGAACGTCTAGAATATAGCACAGAAGAAAACAATAAGGAAATCAGTAGTTCAGAATCAAAGACGTTCTGCTAAAGAAAGAGCAAAAATCAAGATTCAAAGTACCTCAGCACTCAAAGAAGCAGAAAATTCTAATAGCTGCAGGCAAATTGTGCCCTCTGAGGAGCCTAGATTCTAGAAAAAAGGAGAGAGCAGTCTTGTGAAAGAGGTGAAACAAAGGCTTTTCATGTACTCCGGAATTGCTTGGAGACTGGGATATAACCCTGGCAAAGTTATTAAAGTTGATTTCTCTAAAGCATTTACTCGAAAGGGCCACCTAAGGATAACTGGCTAACTGCCCTTAAATTACATTTATTTTTAAAAACATAGTTTGAAAAAGGTTAGTAACCAAAGACTTACAAGACCAACCTTTTTTAAAAAAGAATTTTAAAGGCTGGTTCATAATATGCAAAGGAAGACTACACATTTGCTTGCTACATTTAAGTTGCACAGTATAATATATAGCTTTTCTCCCTCCTCTGGGTTATTTTGAAAATATTAATAAGTTGGATGTCTATTCCATATTTTCAAAGTGGTTATCAATGACTTTTACTTAAATACTTGTAAAACTTATTAATGCCACTTTAATCTCAGTTTACTGCTTAAAGCTTTAGATATCCATATTTTTTTAAAAAAACTATTCTTAAAAAATAGGTAACTAAATTTAATAAATAATGAAAACAATGACAAAATATTCAATGAGGAAAAATGTTTATCCCCATATTGTGGCCAGAACGTTAAGAAACTTTTACAGGACGAAGTCTGCCTGGAAGGGTTTGCTTGGGAAAGTGGTAGTTTATAGCATAACATCTGATTTTGTGTGTTTGTGCCAAGGGTGTTTCCTTTCTGTCTTTTTCCTTTTTATAGGCAGCCACAATAGTGACATGTTTAATATTGATGAGTTTGACCTCCTGGGAGTTATCGTATATGCACCCTTTTTGAATACAAATGCTGTTTAATTTATATGGTAAACACATAGAATTTGGAGACTAGCATTTTAATCAACACTAATCTCAGTATTTTCTACTTCTCCTACCTCTCCTTCTGTCAACAACAACAAAAAAATCACAAACCAATTTTATAAATGACAGCTAATGTCCTCTCCTGGAGAAGCAGGGTCTGTGTGTGAAACATAAAAGCAGCACCATGTGTAGTAACCTCTCCTAAACCATATGCTCAAGCACATTAACAGTGTTCAATTAGATGATCAATTATTCAAGAAACAGAACAATCCATTCATTCAACAAATATTTATTGAACAGCCATGCAGAGGCAGACAGGGGGTTGTGTATGTGGCTGTGACCCGATGGCACCTCTAAACTGGAATTGGGCTTCAGTTTTTCTCCGTGTAAAAATTTCTTCTTTTTTATTTAACTTTTCTCTTGGCAGGTCCAGCAGCTTTGAAGATCAGAGTGCATCTTCCAGCTGACGATCTCTTCGGTCGGGGACAATGCATTCGATTCGCACGGTGGAGATTAAAGTCCCCGAGATAGAGGAAACGTTTTTCGCGCCCAGGTTCAGCGAGGAGCCGCGCGGGGGCAGAGGGGGCGGCGGCGGCGGGCGGGGAGCCAGGCCCGAGCTGCGTTCTGCGCAGCCATTGGTGGGCGCCGCGCTCTGCACTGAGCATGTTCGCGCCCCGCCGGCCCCTAGCCGCAGCCGCAGCCGCAGCGACGGCAGCCACGGGAGCCGCCGCGCATTATGCAAAGCGGCGGCAGATGCGAGCGGGGCCAGCCGGGCGCGCGTCGGCCTCCCCTCCCAGCGGCTCCCCCCGCCGCCGCCTGACTCTCCCGGGAGACTCCCTAGGCCCGGACCTGGGGCCGAGGAGGGCCGGGATGGCCTGAGTGCCCGCGGCGCGGCGGCGCAGCAGCGGGATTGCACCATGGGGAACCAGGATGGGAAGCTGAAGAGGAGCGCAGGTGATGCTTTGCACGAAGGCGGCGGTGGCGCCGAGGATGCGCTGGGGCCCAGGGATGTGGAAGCCACAAAGAAGGGGAGCGGGGGCAAGAAGGCGCTAGGCAAGCACGGCAAGGGGGGAGGGGGCGGCGGCGGCGGCGGGGAGTCGGGCAAGAAGAAGAGCAAGTCCGACTCCAGAGCCTCGGTGTTTTCCAACCTGCGGATCAGGAAGAATCTGTCCAAGGGGAAAGGCGCCGGCGGCTCCCGCGAAGATGTACTGGATTCCCAGGCCCTGCAGACCGGGGAGCTGGACAGCGCTCACTCCCTGCTCACCAAGACTCCAGACCTCAGCCTCTCGGCGGACGAGGCCGGCCTGTCGGATACCGAGTGTGCGGACCCTTTTGAGGTGACCGGTCCAGGGGGTCCTGGGCCTGCCGAGGCTAGGGTCGGGGGCCGGCCGATCGCCGAGGATGTGGAAACTGCAGCAGGGGCGCAGGATGGACAAAGGACCAGCTCGGGCTCGGACACGGACATCTATAGCTTCCATTCGGCTACGGAGCAAGAGGATTTGCTTTCAGACATCCAGCAGGCGATCCGCCTGCAGCAGCAGCAGCAGCAGCAGCTCCAGCTCCAGCTCCAGCAACAGCAGCAGCAGCAGCAGCTCCAGGGCGCCGAGGAGCCTGCAGCGCCCCCCACTGCCGTCTCCCCTCAGCCCGGGGCCTTCCTGGGCCTGGACCGGTTCCTGCTGGGGCCGAGCGGCGGGGCTGGGGAGGCCCCGGGCAGTCCGGACACCGAGCAGGCGCTGTCCGCGCTCTCCGACCTGCCCGAGAGCCTGGCCGCCGAGCCCCGGGAGCCCCAGCAACCGCCGTCCCCCGGCGGCCTCCCGGTCTCCGAGGCGCCCAGTCTCCCGGCAGCGCAACCCGCGGCCAAAGACTCGCCCTCCTCCACGGCTTTCCCATTTCCCGAGGCCGGGCCGGGGGAGGAAGCGGCCGGAGCCCCCGTGCGAGGGGCTGGGGACACGGATGAGGAGGGTGAGGAGGATGCTTTTGAGGATGCGCCCCGGGGCTCTCCGGGGGAGGAGTGGGCCCCGGAGGTGGGAGAGGACGCCCCGCAGAGGCTGGGGGAAGAGCCGGAGGAGGAGGCGCAAGGACCTGACGCCCCCGCGGCCGCTTCCCTGCCCGGCAGCCCCGCGCCTAGCCAGCGCTGTTTCAAGCCCTACCCGCTCATCACCCCCTGCTACATCAAGACCACCACCCGGCAGCTCAGCTCGCCCAATCACTCCCCGTCTCAGTCCCCTAATCAGAGCCCCAGGATCAAGAGGCGGCCGGAACCCTCCCTGAGCCGAGGGTCCAGAACTGCCCTGGCCTCCGTAGCCGCCCCGGCCAAGAAGCACCGGGCCGACGGCGGCCTTGCGGCCGGCCTGAGCCGCTCGGCTGACTGGACGGAGGAGCTAGGCGCCCGCACGCCCCGGGTGGGAGGCTCCGCGCACCTGCTGGAGCGCGGGGTGGCGAGTGACAGCGGCGGTGGGGTGTCCCCAGCACTGGCCGCCAAGGCGTCTGGGGCCCCCGCGGCTGCGGATGGCTTCCAGAACGTGTTCACAGGTGAGCGCGCCCTGCTGCTGGCCTCCGGGTCTCAAGTCGCCTGTCAGTCAGGGCCTTCCCCTGCCACCCGCCCTCCCTGGGCTCTGGAAGGCGGTGACCTGGTAGTGGCACATCTCTTCTCCGTAGGGAATCCTTTTCCGCCCAGCGAGCTCACCCCCCACGGTGAAATGACTTGGACATACTTGTTGGTTTTCTGTGTTCTTACAAGATCTTAAAGGGAACAACTTAGTTGTGTCTGTCCTAAGTTGCTCTGCCCATTTCACCAAAATACCTGCTATTCACAAAGTTTCGGGTCACGCCAGGGAGATAAACTCCTTTTTCGTCTCGTTAGCTAAACCATCATTCTTCTCTTTCATTTTTCATCACCACAGCATTAAAAAGAAAAAAAATTGTTCATGGTTCTTTCGCAAGAGTCGGTTTTGGAGGCACAAATCATTTATTCCGGTACGATCCAAAGGCAGTCTCTGACCGCTCTCATAGCTGTGTGTATTTGTCCACGTTTGGTATGTATGTGATATGTAGTTTCTATCTTGCAGCAGTCTGGGTTCCGCTGCTTAGTGAAGTTAAGCGGTCACTCACTGCTGTTTGCTGCTGCAAGAAAATCCGATACATGCTATTAGAAAATTAATAAATAAATAGAATAGTAGGGATAATTTTCATTCAGTTTCATGGTCCAGCCCAGAACAGCCTGTAGTTTGGAGACAGTGAAGGTGGAAAGGTCAAAAGCACGTCTAGTCCAACTGGTACCTCCCCTCCCTAGCATATGTTATAGACTCATACCCAGGGCGGCATAAAGCACAGCCAGAGTATGTTTGCTCTGGTCAGTGTCAAGCAGTCCAATGAGTTTATCCTAGCTTACAGGCTTACAGGGCCCAAGGCCTTACCTTAAGAGCCCAACATGTTTACCTAACCTCTATTCTTAATTATTAAATGAAATAGAGTGTTAGAATTTAATGAATCGAAAAATATGAAAAGTTACATGACTACTGATAGGTTTATGATAAATATTTGAAGGATTAAACATTTCAAATGCAATCTGAAAATTTTAAAATCTTATGTTCTATTATTTTAATAAATACATTATCTGTAAAACATTGCTTAGATGAAATTTCTCGGCACAGACAGCGACTTCTTAGTTGACTAAATGCTGGTAATATTGGGGTAGCTACTTTTATTGACCACATTTTAATTTTCATCTGTGGGCCACCTTTTATTTTGCCCTTATAGGGTCTTACCCTTAAAAGTAGCTTCTTCCATTCATTTCACATACTCTTATTTTTCTTCTTTTCCACCTTCTCTTTATTGTGTAGATTGTTAAAAAGAATGTTTGTAGTTTTATACCCACTAGATAAATTGTAAAAAAACAAAAACAAAATGCAAAACAAATAAAAAAGAAAGATCACTTTTGATAGAAGAAGATTGGAAAGTTTTTGCATTAATTTTTGTGAATTTAATGTTGGTAAGAAATCACATATTTTCTCTTTATCTAAGTGACATTCACGTATATAGTTTTTGAAAAGTGAAAATAATTCACCATAATGATTATCAATCATTAATATTAATGATAGCTATTCCTACTAGCATAAGACTTTGGAAATTTATTTATTTCATTCATTTAGCAAATATATATATGTATATACATTTGTAAGCATATATGTGCATACACACACACACACACACACACACATTGAGCAGCCACATTGTGCTAGGCAGTATTCTAAATAGTAGCACACTGTGCTAGGCAGTATTCTAGATGTAGGTGATACATAGACCATTAAATCATGATTTTGCCTTTCTAAGGCTCGCTGACTAGTGAGGAGGAGACATGACATAAGTGCAGTGCACAGAAATATCTGTATAGATATAGACATGCAAATCACTGCTGGGAACATCACGGATGCAGTGGCTTATCTGCTTGGTGGCAAGGGGTGAGGGAAGAGGACTTGAGAGAGGAGGATTGAACAGAGTCCTGGAAGATCACAAGACCCTAAATAGGTTGAATGTTTGTTTTCCTTTAAAAAAACAAGTGTCTTCTTGGAACTTGCATTTTAGTTTAATTTGCTAAGTATTCCCAAATTTGAAATTTGGGACTCTTAAAAGAGTCCTGTATAGGAACCACCTGGGTTTTGTTGACCTCTCCAGGTGATTTGTTTTTTAAATTGTGCAAAGTAAAATTGCAGAGCTAGTCGTTTTTATAAGGACATCACCTATTTTGTATTTGATGGTTGGATACAGCTGGTTGGTAATCAGCAAATATATTTTTGTGTAGCAGCTTCCGTATGTTTATGTCATTCACTCAGCATTGTTCAGGAAAAGAGGATCAGTAGGTTTTACCTAACTTTGTAACTGGTGGGAAAATGTAGATAGAGAAAGAGGTGAAATAACTTTCTCAAGGTCACACTGTGATTCATTCAGAGGCAGATCCAGAAATAGAAACTGAGTCAATGAATCAAGTCTAATGTCATTATTATTTCTGTTTGGATATACAATGTTTTAAGGCCATATAGAGAGTAAAAACTGTTTATAAAAAATGTGATCAGATTTAGGGCCTTTCTTTAATTAGATTTTCCAGTTCCTGTTTTTAATAAGGTGTCCTCCTTTAATGGTTGAACATCTGGCCTTCCTTGAGCTGGATGAAGGGTGATTGTTGGCCAGAGTGAACCAGATTTTCTCTAAGCAGCTCTCATGGAAACTGTTCTTATGGTGGTCAAATGAATCCAGATTGACACAGGCCCTTGTGTCTCAGCTGTCAACTCTTCATGTCATCTGCCACTACGTTTGCTTCTTTACTCTCCTCTGCTATTTTTTTACGGGTGTCTTGGAAATTACCAGAGGCTTGGGGAACACTGGCATTGTCCTTAGGGAAATTTCTTTTTGGCCTTAATTTTGCATGTATTTGGATCAATTAATTGCCAGCTGCCTTTGAAGCAGGTGATCATTATATCTATAAGCTTCCATAAGCATCTTTTATTTTTAAACCATAGAATGAGGGTTGTCAGCATTACAGGAAGAAACAGATGTTTTTCGCTTTTTACCGCCTTCCAAATGTAGGGAGAAAATACAAGTGAAAAGGGATTTCTATGGCACATGTCTGTGTCTCTTTGGTAGATCTAAAAACATTTAGCAATGAGGGAGACCAAACTTTATCTTGTTTTAGCTATTAAGAAACTGATGATGCCTTAGGCCATTGCATTTAAGTATTTCATAATTAATGTGTTTGAAATACATCTTTTTCAGTGTTTAGTAGAAAAAATGGCGTCTGAAATTCGGGAGGTTCCTTTACATATTAAGTATAACAGAAGCTTGGTACTGGAGTTTTGCAGTTAATTAAAGTTTAGATATCCAACGTGTTAAATTTGTGATGCTAAATCGCTTTTGATAGGAATCTTTCCCAAGTCAATTATGTGCTTATCTTTTTTTTTAAACACATGGAATAAAAGTTTAATCTGTTTTAAAGGGCTTAATGTCATCTTCAGGCACATCATTGTTACATCTTATAAAAACATTAGTGATGTCCTCAACAGCTATTGAAGTGTGTGGGCTGTTGGCTTCAGTCTGTAGTTTCTGAGTTTTTGTGTCTGTGTAGTTTCTTGATTGTTTTCTTGCTGCCAGCTATTTATTGTTATAGCTGCCTTTTTTTTTTTTTTTTGAGACAGAGTCTCGCTCTGTTGCCCAGGCTGGAGTGCAGTGGCACGACTTCTGCTCACTGCAAGCTCCGCCTCCTGAGTTCACGCCATTCTCCTGCCTCAGCCTCCTGAGTAGCTGGGACTACAGGCGCCCACCACCATGCCCAGCTAATTTTTTGTATTTTTAGTACAGACGGGGTTTCACCGTGTTAGCCAGGATGGTCTTGATCTCCTGACCTCGTGATCCGCCCGCCTCGGCCGCCCAAAGTGCTGGGATTACAGGCGTGAGCCACCGCGCCCGGCTATAGCTGTCTTTAGTCTCTTTGCTCCTGTCCCTCAATTTTTTTGTAATTTGACTTTTCTGATCAATTTGCAATTGGCTTACAATTCCTGTAATTATGATATTGGTTACACTTATTGTACTTCTAAGTGCCAGACTCTGTTGGTGCATTACATAACTATCTGTAATCCTTAACAACAGTCTTGAGGTGTAGCTGTTTATCCTCATTTTTCGAATGAAAAAACCCAGGCTCAGACAGTAAAGTAACTTCTTGTCTAAGGGCATTAAGCTAGTAAGTGGCCCATCCAGGATATGTCCTTAGAAAACCAAATCTGTTGTTAATATGTATAAGATGAAACCAAGTAGATCATTGAGCTTTTGGAGGACTAGCTAATTAATAAAGTGCATAGGCTCTAGAACTTGGATTGTGCAACTCTGATTTTGGCCTTTCTAAAGGTTATCTTGAATTTTTTTTTTTTTTTTTTTTTGGAGACAGATTTCACTCTTGTCGCCAAGGCTGGAATGAAGTGGCGTGATCTTGGCTCACTGCAACCTCCGCCCACTGGGTTCAAGCAATTCTCCTGCCTCAGCTTCCAGAGTAGCTGGGATTATAGGCGCCCATGACCACACCCAGCTAATTTTTGTATTTTTAGTAGAGACAGGATTTCACCATGTAGGCCAGGCTGGTCTTGAACTCCTGACCTCAGGTGTTCTATCTGCCTTGGCCTCCCCAAGTGCTAGGAGGCCTATCTTGATTTTTATATCAGTAGAGGGAAGAACCCACTCTAGGAGTACACATTTTCTCATACGGCTTGGTAAATTGCTACATTGGATTTTTTTAAGGCCAGGAGTAGTTTGATTTCCAGCAGAGCCCCTGACAGAGTATAGATGTCCAGTTAATGTCTGACGAATGAAGGTCAGAATCTGCCTGATACGTATAAAATGTCTTATTATAAAAGGAAAGGGGTTTATATGAATGCTATGCTTTCCCCTAAATACTGCCTTACTGGGTTCCATATATCAGAGAAGAATTTGGCGATGTAAGCGGGGACCAGAACACTGATCTTCAATCATTTTAGATGGGTCTGAAACATCCTTTCTCATGGTTTCTTTAGGCCTGTGGTTTGGATTGAAGTCAAGTGCACCAGTAGCTTCAGGGATGGGTTTTAATGACTGCTTTATGAGTTGAGGATGGGCCTAGTTTTAAGAGCTTTAGGCGTTTGGATATAAGCCATGCGTATTTGAAATGGAGCAGGTACTTTTAGTGCTTTTCCTTCTGATTCTTCTGAAAAGATACAGAAAATATACAGTTGGATGAAGGTAGCAGTAGTTATTCTAACTACGTTTATTCTAGGTATATTTGCAATCCTAGTTTTGCTGTTTAGCTAAGTGAGTCTCCAGTAATTTTTCCTCATATCTATGAAGGTAGAAGAATAATTTCAAATTAATACTATTAAGATGAAATGAAATAGCATACATAAAGCCCCTACAATTCTGCCTGGTACATGAGAGGCACTTAACTGGGGCTATTTGCTCTCCTGACTGGATTTATTATCTTAAAAAAAAAGTCATTGTTCAAAGTGATCAGAGCCAAATTTGTTAAAACAACCCTGAAATTGTATACAAAACTTAGCAGGATATGAACTGACCAGATACTAGTTGAGCCCCAGTTTTGTTTTGTTTTGTTTTTTTTTGCAAATTGTTTATGTATTATTTTTTCTTTTTTTTTTCTGGAATTGTAAGCATTTTGTCACTTATCAGATATTCTGTGGTGGGGGGTTGGATAAGAAAAGCATATGATGGGGTGTGGCTGTAAGATTTGGGGGAGGGTGCTGCTTTCCAAAGAAGGGGTGGGAAGAGGAGGCGGTAGCTGACACCCTCAGTGTTTCTGCTCTGCACAGCATCTGGCTGCAAACCCCTGACTTTGCAGCTTTACCTTCCCACGGTCTCCTTCATAAATGCTCTACTTTACACTGTTTTATGAACATGCATTTCATTTTCCCGACTTTGTGCCTTTGTCTTGCAGCTTTACCCTCTTGGAATACATGATTCGTCTCTTTTGCTTTAGCATTTGAAAAGTGCTGATTGAATTCCGTTTCCTCTTTGTATCTTTTCCAGCCAGACCTTACTGGCTGTCATCTCACTTTCTCTGTACTTTACTGTCTAGATCATATTATATATGCTTCTTGGATTTAGGGATTCTTCTGGTCTTCTTTCTTGCCACCCTCTGCCTTTCCTTCCTCCTTGCCTGTTCACCCGATTCCATCCATCCATCATCTCCTCTCCTACTAATCTGTCCACAGATATCTCTTCCGTGCCTTGCTCTGTGCCTGTCAATATGTGTAAAGCACCGACTGTACTGAGGTCTTGATGAATACTTGCTCATTCACCATTTTTGGCAGTGATATAGACAAGTTGAGTATCCAGGCTTCCTACTGGCAATTAAAACTAGTTGAATTGAAGCTGGAAAATTGCTAACCTTTCTGGGCAGTCAAAATTAATTATTTTCAATGAGGTGTGATTGAATCAATGATACTTTATAGAACTTATGTTGATAGAAGAATAGCTATTCTTGTTTCTGCAGGTTAATGTTAAAATAGTAATGACATTACAGCAACTGACCTTCCAAATATAAATGTTATTGTAATGAAAGAAGAGGTAAAGGGAATAGAGAAAATTGTATTCCTCTGTTCATTCCTGTTTTGTATTCTAAGTACTAACCTAATGCTAATAAAAGTTAGCATTAAGGAACCATTAGGAAGAAACAAAAATGTACTGCCTGTGACTTGATAGTTATTAGATATCATTTTAGTGACAGTAGAAACTTTCTAAGGCTTTTTTATCTTAAAATATATGGAAAATATGACCTCAGTCAGTTCGGAATGGTAGTAAAGCAAGGTAGTCATAACATCAAAATTCTAAGAATGAGTAACAATTATTTCTGGATGCTATAATAAGATGCTAACCACACTAGAGATTTATTATCCTTTTGATACCTACTGCTCCACTATGGGTGAGAAGGAGGGAAGAATTTATGTCTTCTTCCTTTGTAAAGATGTACTTGGAAGTGTTGATTGGATAGGAAAATTACTGCCTCTATTCTGTGATCCAGTCAGGCTCCAACCTACCAGGAACCCACTGGAAGCTTTATTATCTGTTACCCTAGAGCTGCAATGGACTGAAAACAGTCCTATTGTTTTCAGGAGGAATGGAATACTTTCTTGAGAAAATCAAGCCTATATTATGTTTCAAAATTATGCTTAAAAAGGCTTAGGCACTACTCAGTTGAGTCTTTTTTTGTACTTCATGCAGAAGGGTTCTTTGTTGTAGTACCTGGTGATAGAGTGGACACATACAGGAAGAAATTCTGTGTCATTTAAATGGTTGTTTTAGGTACGCAGGAGGGGAAAGAATGTGTTTCAGTAAGCTAGTGTCAGCACTATGGGAAGAGTGCAGGCTGAGAACAATCTATTTCCCTTTTCCGTTTTACCACCAGCTTCCTATTAGGGCACAAGGCAATCATTTCTTGCCTCTTGTTAATACCCTGGCTTCCCAGATTGGAAGAGTGAATGCAATCTTGCTGGGAAGCGTCTTCCTTCAAGTCAATTTCAGCACTGTGGTTCTATAGATATGGTGATTCCAGCAGGTACCTTTTCTCCCTAATAGGGATGCTCTGTGTATTTAGAGCTTTCCTTTATTGGTAGAGCTGAAGAAAATTCCTATGCCGGAAGACCCGTTTATACCACGGAGTAATTGATGGTGAGAGTGGTGATGTTTTGACTTTGATAGTTTTGATCAATTTTTGATTCATGCTGAAGGAGATTTGCATTGGTTAGACTGTCATTATCTGACAATAGGACCGTGTGTGTGTGTGTGTATGTGTGTGTGTGCCTGTGTGTCTGTGTTGTGTGTGTGTGTGTTTGAGACAGGGTCATGCTCTGCCACCCAAGCGGGAGCGCAGTGGTGTGCTCATGGCTCACTGCAGCCTCAAACTCCTGGTCCCAAGCAATCCTCCCACCTCAGCACCTCAGCTTCCAGAATAGCTGGGACCACAGGCGTGAGCCACTATGCCTGGCTAATTTTTTTTTTTTTTTTTTGGAGAGACAGGGTCTCACTATGTTACCCAGGCTGGTCTCGATAGGGCCTTGTGTTTTTGAACACTGATATAATGATTATGTATGATGGTTGATCGTGTGTTATGAAAATGTATGAAATGGAAAGCTATGTTATATAATGTATGGCTCGAAGATTTAGAATATATGAAGGCTTTCTAATATTGGCACAAAATATACTGAGTCATTACTTTTAGTTTCATTATCTGCAATGTAAGTCATCTCTTGTTCTTGGATGGATTGTAGGCTTTGAATTTTTCATTATAGTTTAAACTGCTCAATAAAAGCAGTACTATTAATTCTCTTACTTCAATATACTTTAATATATTGGTTTTTGTTATGTTTTCAGTTTTTCCTACTATTGAATATGCTTACTGAAATACTTTTTATGAGTCTGTGGTATTCCATTTAGAAGTGTGCATTGATATTAAAAATTTCTTAGAAACTAGAAGGTTAAAAGGTGTTGAGAGGTCCTAGGTTTTTTACTTTAAAAAGAAAAAAGTTCCATTGGCCTTAAACAAGTACAGCTTGTTTGAGCCCATTAAGGACTAGAATAGAACTATTTCAGGATCCCAAATAAATGCATTTGAATACTCTGTGGAGAGTTTTGTAAGGATGCTCTTCATTATTGAGATACAAGGTTTATCTTTTAAAAGTATAATAAAAGAAATGAGGTAACAATAGGGATAATCTTTGAAACTCATTTTTTAACCTATATACTTGTAGATAATTGGCTTCTTTTTCTTATAGACCAATACTTGCCTGTTTGGAGAGGGTAAGTTATGTGAGCTCTCTGTGGGAAGTGTTACATTTTGCAGCTAACCAAAATGTTCTTCTATAAGCCAATTATATCTTCTGTCCTTTTGGTGCTATTTTGGTTAAATGGCTTTGGGGATATAAAATGTGTGGATGGTATCCTTGCAGTTTCTTTCAGGGTATAGGGATTGATCTGTCTCTGTTCAATTTTTAGAAAAATCCAGAAGTATGTTGACTCTGTTGGATTCAATATTTTGGGGATAGGCAGAGAGGGTTGTATAAGAACTGCAGTGATTTAAGTGGAGAAAGTGGAGAGACATTTGACTGGGCTGACAACGTGATATCAGTAAAAAGGTGATCCTTTAATTTTTTTTTTTTTTTTTTGAGACAGGGTCTCACTCTGTCACCCAGGCTGGAATACAGTGGCGCCATCTTGGCTTACTGCAACCTCTGCCTCCCAGGTTCAAGAGATTCTTTCACCTCAGCCTCCCGAGTAGCTGGGACTATAGGCACATGCCACCACACCCGGCCGATTTTTGCATTTTTTTGTAGAGACGGGGTTTCACCATGTTGGCCAGGTTGATCTCGAACTCCTGACCTCAGGTGACCCGCCTGTCTCGGCCTCCCAAAATGCTGGGATTTCAGGCATGAGCCACTGCTCCTGGCCAATGCCTTTAATAACTTGGATTATTTCTCTAAGGAGACTCATTTGACTCTAAATTCACAGATCATTTTCATATCATCTGCTTTTGGATAATAAAAGCTAGGCATGTGGCTTTAGCTTTAGCTTGAGGCTAAGCCCTTAAGGTTGAGCCCCTGATTTCCTTTTGTATGTGTGCTTTTGTCTTTGTCAGTTACCAATAGACTGCTAGAGTTGTGTCTGCAGTTTCTGTGTTTCTCTGGACCTCAGACATATCTCACTTAGACATCACAAGCCTAGGATATTCACCGTGTCTAAAACTATACTTACTATTTTACCCACCCTCTTAACACCCTCCTTCTGGGTTTCCCAAACAAGGCATTGCCGTCTAGCTTTGCCATATTCTTGGATTCCTCCATCCTTCTCATACTTCACACCCAGTTAATCTTTCCATTTTCTCTTTTCTTTTCCTAAGTATCTCTTTAAAATGTCTTCCAATTTCTGTTTCCATTATCTCTACCCTTCCTAGTTTAAATCCCTATCAACAGCCTCCTCAACATTCTTTTGTCCACAACCTGCGTTTCTCCACTCCATTCTGCATGAAGCAAGAGAGTAAATGACTTAACATACAAACTTGAATGGGTTCCGGTATAGAAACATGTCATTGGTCCCCTATCACCCTGAGGCTATTGAGTTTAAATTCTTTACTATGTACATATTAAATATATTAATATAGACATTATTATTATTTTTTTTTGTGACGGAGTCTTGCTCTATCCCCAGGCTGGAGTGCAGTGGTGCGATCTCGGCTCACTGCAAGCTCCGCCTCCCAGGTTCACGCCATTCTCCTGCCTCAGCCTCCCGAGTAGCTGGGACTACAGGCGCCCGCCACCTCGCCTGGCTAATCTTTTTTGTATTTTTAGTAGAGACGAGGTTTCACCGTGTTAGCCAGGATGGTCTCGATCTCCTGACCTCGTGATCCGCCCGCCTCAGCCTCCCAAAGAGCTGGGATTACAGGCGTGAGCCACCGTGCCCAGCCGACATTATGTTATATAGCATATATAAGCTATATATTATATATAATAGACATTATATATATTTTAATATGTATTAATATTTAATCTCTGTAGTTTTGTCACCTCATTGTTCAGGATCTACTATTCCTCACCTCGTCCTAAGTGCTTCAGTCATTTTTCAGATAGCTCATGCTCTCTCTGGTAATTTTAGGTATTATTAACACTTTTTCTTCCTGGTCCTCAGAGAAAAAAAGAATCCATGTAGTTGTATTCATGAGAATCCAGTCTGTGACACACTCGCATCATCAGTCCAGGCAAAACTCGTTTTGTCCTTATCATACTCCCTGCATTTTCACTTCCCATTCCGAAGCCTCTAGTAGACATACAGAACTGCTTTTATCTATTGCTCTCTTTGAATTAGTCTGCATTTTTCTAAAGTATATAGTATTTCTGTTTATGTTTGGTTTATACAAATACTCTGAGTTGCAGACCTCATTCTGTTTCTTAAAAAGAACAAAACAAAACTCAACCACCTTTGGAAAAAAATCTACGAACTTTTCTGGGTGAATTTCCACCTTGTTTTTTGCTTCCCACTGTTATATACTATTCCTAAGAATGAAAGTCCTGCTGGGTTGTTCAACACCAGGGTCACCATTCACCTTTTATTGTGTGTGAGTAATGTTCCCCTAGAGCTGTTCAATGTGGTGTCTCTGGGCACATTCCCTAGATTTTATTTAAACATGAGCATGGTGATAAACATCTAGATTCCTGTACTTCTCGGCCACCAGAGAAAACAGTCTGATGAATATTTCCATACAGGGAGCTATGGGAGAACTTCTCTGGGATATACATTTGGAAGTGGAATTGTCAGGTCATTAAATAAAAGGTTTTATTTGAGTAGGTACTGTCAGATTAGTTTCCAGAATGCTTTCCTAGTTTATGCTTCTTTTTTTTTTTTTTTTTTTTTTTTTTGAGACCGAGTCTCACTCTGTCGCCCAGGCTGGAGTGCCGTGGCGTGATCTCGGCTGACTACAGCCTCAACCTCCTGGGTTCAAGTGATCCTCCTACCTCAGCCTCCTGAGTAGCTGGGATTACAGGCGCCCACCACCATGCCCGGCTAATTTTTGTATCTTTGGTAGAGATTGGGTTTCACCATATTGGCCAGGCTGGTCTTGAACTCCTGGCCTCAAGTGATCCACTCACCTCGGCCTCCCAGAGTGTGGGAGTTACAGGTGTGAGCCACTGCACCCGGCCTCCATATAAATTTAGAATAAAATTAGAATAGGTTGTTGAGTTTCTTAAAAAATCCTGAAGTTGTTTGATTGAGATTTTAGTCAATTCATAGATTAAATTGAGGACTGTTTCCACTTTTGTAATATCATTTTATCTGAGAATGTGAAAGATCTCTTCATTTATTCAGATCATCTTTTATTCATTTTAATAGAGTTTAGACTTTTCTCCATAAAGAGTTTGTGTTTCCTTTGCTGAACTATTTCCTGATGCTTCATATATTTTATTACTAATGGGAATGGGATCTTACTTTAGTTTTATTTCTAGTTGATTATTGTTAAGGTAAAGAAATGTTTTCAGTATCTATCAGGTATAAATACTGTATGATTTCCTTTATGAACGTTATTTAAATGTAAAGTTTATTTAGTAAAATCTATAGCTTACAGTTATATGAGATTTTAAAGGTAGTGCTTTTTTTTACAGCAAATAATTGAAATATAATCATAGAACAGTATACATTGTGTAGATTCTTTTGGAATTATTGTGGCTTTCCTTTTAGCATTAAATATGGTAAGTTTTTGTGGATTTCCATACACTTTTTGGGGAGCCATATTCCTAAAACCCAGAAACATTATTAACGTTTTAATTTAGTACGTTGTGTCTTACATTGAACATTAATAAAAATCTCACTAATTATTTAAAATACTTCAAAAGCATAATTTAAACAACTCTATAGTATTTTATCCAATCAGAACACCATTCATCCCCGAGTATCCATTGCATACTTTTTCTTAGATTGCCTTCTGCCTTTTGGGATGCCTTTTAGACACCTTCATATGATCTTCTTCCACCTATAACTCTTCCTAATTAAATGATGCTTTCTCCCCAGGCTTCATATGTAGTCTGTGTTAACATCCACCCTGAGTAGTCTATGAAACATCCAACATTTCCCTGCATGTTGATAAATCATATTTCTAGCTCAGATCTCTCTTGTGAATTTCAGGTGCCAATTTCATATTGTCTTTTAAACATCTTTATATAGATACGGGAATAGTTTCAAACTGAACTCATCTTTTCTCCAAACCCAACCTGCTCCCTTATGTATTATTGGATTCCTGGTAGATAATACCATCTAACAAAGCTCTTTACCCAGTTTCTTAAGCCAGAAATTTGGAAGTGCAAGTTAGCCAAGCTATGCCACTCTTCCTCCTCCTTATATTTAATTAGTCTCTACATCCTGTTAAAATATACCTCCAAAAATATGTTTTTAAATACTCATCCCCTCCTTTCCAGGAGGATTTTTTTTTCTTTTTTTTTGAGACAGAGTTTTTGCTCTTGTTGCTAGGCTGGAGTGCAATGGCGCGATCTTGCTCACTGCAACCTCCGCCTCCTGGGTTCAAGCAATTCTCCTGCCTCAGCCTTCCAAGTAGCTAGGATTTCAGGCGCCCACCACCACGCCCAGCTAATTTTTGTGTTTTTAGTAGAGACGAGGTTTCACCATGTTGGCCAGGCTGGTCTCTAACTCCTGACCTAAGGTGATCTGCCCGCCTCAGCCTCCCAAAGTGCCGGTTTTACAGGCATGAGCCACCATGCCCGGCCTTTTCCAGGAGGATTTTTAATGCCACTCTCCAAATTTTCCAGTAGCTTTCCATTGACTGTAGGAACACAATTGAAACCTCAGATTTATATTCAAGCAGAAGACTGAATGTGTTCAGGATGAAGGAGCTAGATGTGATAGCAGTTTGTATGATTCAAGTCAGCATAAGGGAAGCCATCCCTTACAGAATGTCCAGTGTTGGCATGCGTGGTCTTGAGAAGAGCAATTTCATCATCACTGGAGATGTTAAAATAGAGACTGAGTGAAGATCAAATGGGGTGGTCGTAGCCCTGGAGAGGCTGAATTTGACCACTGATATTCTTTCCAGCTCGGAGAGTCAATGATGTATGACTTGAAAAGTAAGAGCAGCAGCTGTGGTCTGTGTGACTCATTCCTTTTATTTGAGACTGCTTTAAATATTTATTTAAAACTCTTCAACCAAGTGATTTTAGAAGCTGCCATTTATTAGAGTCACTTTTATGGATTTAACTTAATAGATACAACAATTAAATTAAAAAAACATTTTTCTTTTGTCTTTCTATAGTTTTTCCCTTTTAATCTTGATTTATTTCATGACCTTTTAAAAAAATACCAGGAAATTCATAACCTGTCATAGGTCCTGAAAAGTGGTTGGTAGTTATCATCATATGTGTTCTATGATATTCTTTTTTCAACTTCATTAGATTTATTAGATTAAATTTCTCTATTTATTTTTGTCATTTTCAGCCTTTGGTAAATTGAAGTTGGATAGTGTCTTTTTCTCTCTTCCCCAGGAAAAAAAATCCCTTGATGCTAGTCAAATTGAACTTTATATAAATTTTAATAGACATGTAGTACCGAGAACTCTCTATAACAAAGTCACTTTTTGAATACTCTCAGTATGATGTTTTTGCTATAATTGATGTGGAACACATCTTTTAATACCCTTCTCAATATCCCTAGTGTCAAGTAACATAAATGCATCAAACGTGCACCTCAGTTCACCACAGAGAACAGTCAACTTCTTCAAAACAATTATGAAGACACATTGTAGGCACTTGTTCTTGAAGACTAAGAGGATCTTCCTGTAAGAGTGTCTAAATCAAAGGTGTACCTGGATTCAGTGAATTTTGATTCCTCCAGGGGTAGTAGAGTTTCACTCTGCTTTATGTTGGTCCAAATCCCTTTATTAGCCATGGTCATCTTTGCAGATGAGGGCAGGGAGTTCATCATCCTTGTGTGTTTTGTGACTTGTTTTCCTTAATGGTTTGTCTAGCTATTGGATTTCACGTTTGTTTTCTTTCTTTGAGACAACCCTAGATATTTATCCTTGTAGCAGTCTTCTTTTTACTATAAAACCTGCAGCATTTTGGACCTAAAACTAGACATGGTAATTTCTATTTGATCATAAATGGCCCTCCTTATTTTTTTTCTTATTTGGCAAGTATAAGCCGTTAGTATGTGAGATACAGAATATGTGATATCTCTGTATTCAGTGACATCATAAACTTAAGCAATTATCATTAATGTCTTATAATAGATTTGCTTGTCAACATCCTTATTTCCTCCTAATATTTCAATTGATAGATAACATGGGATATCAGGGAAGTTTATTAGATAGTTATGTCTGAGCTATAAGGTCAGAGAAAAATTTAACGTGACAAGACATCTGTTTTAATTCTCATTTTGCATAAGATATAGTGGCCTGGAAGAAACAGAAACCTGTGTTGACACCTTTTAAAATACAGCAACTGTCTTGTTCATCCTTCTACCATTAAAAAATGCACAGAAGGGGCCTGGTGCAGTGACTTACACCTGTAATCCCAGCACTTTGGGAGGCCGAGGCAGATGGATCATCTGAGGTCAGGAGTTCAAGATCAGCCTGGCCAACATGGTGAAACCCTGTCTCTACTACCAATACAAAAATTAGCCTGGCGTGGTGGCGAGAGCCTGTAATCCCAGCTACTCAGGAGGCTGAGGCAGGAGAATCACTTGAACCCAGGAGATGGAGGTTGCAGTGAGCCGAGATCCTGCCATTGCACTCCAGCCTGGGCAACAGAGCGAGACTCTGTCTCAAAAACACCCCAAAAAACCCAAAAAACCCACATGCACACAAGGAAAAAATATCAGTGACATATTTGTAGGCTATTAAAATATAAGTTTCAAACAGATGATTAAAATTGAATGCTATCATAGGACATAAAACTCAGTACAAAACTTACACTTAGCCCTCTCATGTATATAACCTTAGACATATGACTCAAGTATTTGGGCCTTGATTTCTTTACAGTGGAATTAGTGGTTTGAACGAAATGATCTCTAAGATTTCTTCTGGCTCTAACATACTGAAGATGAACATACTGAAGTGGATTGTCACTGAGTCACTTGATCGTCCTCATGACAATGATTAGTCTTTGGAATGAGTAAAACCAGAAAGGTTACATGCACCATCAAGGGTATTGGGAGAAGAGCATCTCCTACTGTCTGTCATCAAAGCTTCTATTCCTGTTTGGACACTTTCTTGTCTCAGTAAAATGGGAGACTCTCCCTGCTCTATGTTGAACTCACTGAACCTATGTACACCCTTCATTTAGATACTCTTGCAGGAAGATCCTCTCAGTCTTCAAGAAAAAGTGCCTACAGTGTGTCTTTAATATTGTTTTGAAGAAGTTGGCTGTTCTCTGTGGTGAACTGAGACGCACATTTGATGCATTCGTATTACTTGACACTAGAAATATTGAGAAGGGTATTAAAAGATGTGTTCCACATCAATTATAGCAAATACATCATCCTGAGACACTGACTCTCCCTGCGGTATGTTGTCAGCAGTTAGCAACCAGCCTGTACTCTGCATCTCTTCTACAAGAGTATGCCAGCTACATCATCTTATTGTATTATTATTACTATTATTATTATTAGTTAAGGGCAGGGAGCATGTTTTCTTCAGCTTGTCTTCCTCTAGTAGGCCTAGGACATTCTTTGGGATATGACGGACTCCTAAGTGCTTGGTTATATCTTATCTTTGCTCCTCCCCAACCTCCCAGTTCCACTAAGGATGTTTAATTAAGGCAGTGTGTTCTACACAGACTGCTTTTAAAATGTTCCTTCTTGGGCTTTGGTTGTTGTAAGTAGGTTGTTAGCCCCTGCAGGGCACAGACCGCATGGTCTGTTTCTTTTATATCCGAATGCAGAAAGTTGGTCAGAAGCTTTTCCCAGAGTTGCTGGCTGAGTCAGAAGTAGAAGATCCCTGGAATAAAAATGAGGAGAGCAGAGTGTGCCTCCAGTTTTGGCACTGCCACTTTCTAATCTTATGACTTCGGGCAGACTCTAGAACCTTTTCATTCCTCAGTTTCTTTGAAGTTGTGATGATAAATCCTGCTCTGCCTACTTCACAGAGCTGACAGTAGATGCAGAAATGCCTTTTACATTGTATAGCCCTGTTCAAATAAAATACTTTTTACTTTTTATAGTGTCAATGGTCACAGGCCCAATAAAACCCTAGTGCAAGGAGAGTTGATTTTACTTCTTCATTGTGCAAGAGGATTGCAACATTTGTTCTGATGGTGAATAAAAACTTACCCCCTAACTGCGGTGTCCATGTTTATCTAGGCTTGTGAGTTTTGCTTCTCAAGGTAAGAGGAGTATTTATAGCTAGTGTATGACTGCAAAGCTGATTCTACAAGCTTCACTTTTGATTAGCTACAGTGTGGAAGAATATGTGGGAAGAGCGTGAGGGGATTAGTACAGCAATAATTGGAGAACATTAATGATTAATAAGTCCCCGACTCTCATTTAATGAATATTATTTTTGATGTGAATTTAATAAATATAGTAAAACAAATATGCAAGCCCTTTTTTTTAAAAAAAATTGAGGCTAGGAATTCTAGCAAGCAGTGTCTTAAATATTACCTTGTTGTTAAAATCTACTAAATTTAAGGAAAAAAACCCAAAACTTGGTGGATGAAGATATTTGAATCTGTGATTACCTTGCCTATTACCGTACTATTTCAAATGCTTTTAGATCCAACTTATGATTTCCTTCTTTTAAGTTGAACCAACATTTTTAATCACATTTACAAGTAGAGAGTATTTGAAGTATATCTTGATCATAATAATAACAGGTAACATTTATTGGGTACTGTTAAGCCTGTTACAAAAATTGTTTCATTTAATTTTCACAGTAATCCTCGGAGGTAATGAGGATGATTATTTCCAATTTCTAGATGAGGAAACAGGATTACCAGGGGTTATGTAACCTGTCTAAGGCCATACCTAGCATAATGGAGGCATCAGTGTTATCGGAAAGGGGTCCCAATCCAGACCCTAAGAGAGGGTTCTTGGATCTTGTACGAGAAAGAATTCAGGGCAAGTCCTTAGAGTAAAGTGAAAGCAACTTTATTAAGAAAGTAAAGGAATAAAGAAAGGCTACTCCATAGACAGAGCAGCCCCGAGGGCTGCTGGTTGCCCATTTTTATGGTTATTTCTTGATGATATGCTAAACAAGGGGTGAATTATCCATGCCTCCCCTTCTTTGACCATATAGGGGAACTCCCTGATGTTGCCATGGCATCTGTAAACTGTCATGGCACTGGTGGGAGTGTAACATGAGGATGACCAGAGGTCACTCTGGTCACCGTCTTGGTTTTAGTGGGTTTTAGCCGGCTTCTTTACTGCAATCTGTCTTATCAGCCTTATCAGCAAGGTCTTTATGACCTGTATCTTGTGCTGACCTCCTACTCATCCTGTGACTAAGAATTTCTTAACCTCCTGGGAATGCATCCCAGTAGGTCTCGGTCTCATTTTACCCAGCCTCTATTCAAGATGGAGTCACTCTGGTTCAAACGCCTCTGACATCGGGATTGAGATCCAGGAAGTAGCTTCTGTTGCTTAAGCTATGGCTGCAATCCCATGCCTCCCCACATGGGTGTACTTCATGAAGTCAAGGTACAGAGTCCACGTGTTTTCAGGGGAAAGGAATAGGCAGAAAATAAGGAACACTTTCCATCCTATAAAAGAATGAGAGAATTCTTCATGGTTATACTATTCTAGATTTCTTCAGTTCTGCATAATTAGGTATATAATATGTAATATGTGTGATCAATGACATGGGCCTTTCCTAGATAAAGATAACGTGACCTTTGACAAGACACCTAACATCCTTAGGCCTGCATTTTCTTTTTTTTTTTTTTTTGAGACGGAGTCTCACTCTGTCACCAGCTAGAGTGCAGTGGTGTGATCTCGGCTCACTGCAACCTCCACCTCCTGGGTTCAAGTGCGCCTCCTGCCTCAGCCTCCCGAGTAGCTGGGACTACAGGCACGCACCACCACACCCAGCTAATTTTTGTATTTTTAGTAGAGACCGGGTTTCACCCTGTTGGCCAGGTTGGTCTCGATCTCTTGACCTCATGATCTGCCTGCCTCGGCCTCCCAAAGTGCTGGGATTACAGGCGTGAGCCACTGCATCTGGACAGGCCTGCATTTTCTAGTTCAGAAAATGATATTAGAGGCTGGGTTTGAAGGACAGGAAGATGGCCCCTCCCACTGAGTCTTTTATTTGGGTGGAGGGAGGAAAGGGAGCAGAAAGAGCCCAAGAAACTTTGCCCGTCTCCTGCCCTTATCTTTATAGAGTTATAAATTTCTCAGAAACTAGCATTTATATACTTATAAAGTTTATAGCAATCTGTGCTATAGAGATGATTTTATCAGCTTTTGAGAATTTTCTCCACTTGCAGTGTTGCTGCACCTGCTGGGGGTGTGTTCTCTAGGCAGTGTCAGAGCCTAACTCTTCCTTTATGGGGATTGCACTTGCGTTTTCCTGATAAGTGACCCTGGGACAGTGTGTGCTTCTGAAGGCCTCCCTGGCTGACCCTGTGGTCCGGGCCCTAGGGACTGACCTTCTAGCTGGCACCAGCTCCTGCTGTGAAATGGCTGCTGCCCACAGGCAGTGTTTTGTGAGCTGTTCATTCAGCAGATAGATTTTTGGCAAATTGACTTAGTGCTGTTTTGCAAAGAGTAGGAGCTCAGGAAATATGGTTGAATAAATAAACGTAAGCAAATATGAAGTAAAATGCAGGCTTGAATAGCTGGACACTTGAAAAAGTTAAAATTACTCTAGGGCCAATGATTTTCATTTATTGGTGTGGTTGACATGTCTGTCTAGGAACAGTGATTTGACCAAGGAGTAGAGTGAGGGGACTGGGGGATACCTTGACTGGGGGATACTGTGGTCATGGGGTGTGAAAGCCCGTGTCAGAGGGAACCGGGAAGCCTCTGGTTCCTGGCCCCAGCCAGCCAGTTTGCACAGTTAAGAAGTAAGATTGTGGCCGGGCACGGTGGTGCGCACCTGTAATCCCAGCACTTTGGGAGGCCGAGGTGGGCGGATTGCCTGAGGTCAGGAGATCGAGACCATCCTGGCTAACATGGTGAAACCCCATCTCTACTAAAAATACAAAAATTGGCCAGGCATAGTGGCACACGCCTATGGTCCCAGCTACTCGGGAGGCAGGAGAATCGCTTGAACCGGGGAGGCAGAGGTCGCAGTGAGCCGAGATCACGACACTGCACTCCAGCCTGGGGGACAGAGCAAGACTCCGTCTCAAAAAAAAAAAAAAAAAAAAAATAAGGTTGTGTTTAAGGCTTCAGGGCAGTCCATTCTCCCTAGTTTAGATTCAAGGCATCCTAATCCTATTTAGTAGGTGAGTGTCTCCTGATTAAATTCTCAATTATCAAATGCAGGAAGAGAAATAAAAGTTCATGTCTCTGTCCACTCCCCCTGACCTGGTTGGTCAAATTACATTCCTTGAACAGAAAAGGAGTTCAGTATAGTCCAGCTGGAGTGTGTGTCCTGGAAATAACAAAAACTGTTTGCCTTCCCACCACAGCGATTTTGACTCTTTAATAAACTGTGTTCGTATCTCTTGGTTTTGCAAAATCAGGAACATGCTTTGTTTAGTTTTGTGATCTTGAATTTTCACATGATTTTTGTGTCACATATTTCTGTGTAAGTAAATGTTTTTAATAGTGTGATTTAAGATATTTTATTGTGAAAGTGGAATATACACACTCAGAGAATTACAATGAATTCCCATGAATCCATTACTCAGCTTCAGTAATCATCAATATTTTCAATGCCATAATAGTTTTATCAACCCTTTTTTTCCACTTCTACCCCATGCCACCTACTTTTTTGTGAAATAATTTAAAACAAGCTCCAGACATCATGTTATTTTAATATCAAATATGTATCTCAAAAATGGACTTTTAAAGTATGCTACAATGTCATTCTTTATATTGAAAGCAAATAGAGTAAGTTGTTCAATATTACCTGGTAACTAGTCCATCCTCAGAACTCTCTGATACTCTAGAATGGATGCTAGGTGCAATCTGACAGTTGAATTGGTTCATGCTGAGTTCTCCTTTCTTTTGTTCCAGAGGCTGGGGGACAGCAGGAAAGCTCGATGGGGGATGCTGTGTACTTTATGATCACCCCCAGCAGGGGCCCACCATGTCTGGCTTTCTCAGTTGTCCTGAAGCTGTGAATGATCCCTGGGTTTGGGGCTGACAGCTTGATCCTTTCTTTGCAAGAGTTTCAATTGACCTTTTCTCTAATGGATTTTCCATCCACTTGCTGTTCTTTAAGTGAACCCATTATTTCATTAGGGATTGCAAAATGGTGATTTTCTAATTATATCATTTCTTTTTTTTTTTTTTTTTTGAGACAGAGTCTCACACTCTGTCGCCAGACTGGAGTGCAATGGCGAGATTTCAGCTCACTGCAACCTCCGCTTCCCAAGTTCAGGTGATTCTCCTGCCTCAACTTCCAGAGCAGCTGGAACTACAGGCATGCTCCACCATGCCCAGCTAATTTTTGTATTTTTAGTAGAGATGGGGTTTCACCATGTTGGCCAGGATGGTCTCGATCTCTTGACCTTGTGATCTGCCCACCTCGGCCTCCCAAAGTGCTGGGATTACAGGCGTGAGCCACCGCGCCCGGCCAATTCTATCATTCCTTTTGCACATTTTGGCTGGAATTTTTCTGTATTGAAGACTTTATTCACTAGGTATGGTTGTTACCCTGAAATACAGTTCTTTCTAGAAAGGCAGCATAAATGCCTCATTATTTCCTATTCTGTTATCAGTGCCCTAGCATTCTTCAGTGATAGCTGATGTTTTATTTTTCTGGTTTCTTTAAATATATTTAATATGTTTAAATCAATTAAGTGATTATTCTTTCTGTAATAGCATGGCTTTTAATGGCTGTATAGTTAGCAGTCATGTGTATAAAGCTATCTTTTTTTATTTATGTCTGTATTGTTGGACATTTTAGTTCCTTTGAATTTTGGTACTATTAATAATCTATTTGTTATAGTACCAGGAACTGTGATAAATACTTGACATGCATTATCTCATTTAGTCATCATAATACTCCCATGATGCATCACTCTGAGGATACCTCTGAATATTTACCTAGAATAGCTTTTATAAAGTTGAATTTCTGGGTCAAAGGGGTGAATTTTTAAAGATCACTGACACACATTGCCAAATTGCCCCTTAAAGCTTTCCTTGTCGGTGCTGATGCCCACTTCTGGGTTTTGGGATACCTTGAGTTCAGGTTGAGGGACACTGGAGGAACAAAACTGGTAAACCTGCTGGTTTGGTGGTTCTTTGAATTCTCATCTTTTTCCCCAGTCCTCCTGCTATTACAATACAGTCTTGTCACAGAGCCAACCCCAAAACTGGGGTTCTGCCTGGGAGAAAACATGGGTTCTTGGCTTCCCTCAGGAAGCAATTCAAGAGGGAACCACAGAGCAAAGGGAAAGCAAGTTTATTAAGAAAGTAAAAGAATAAAAGGGTGGCTACCCCATAGGCGGAGCAGCCCTGAGGGCTTCTGACTGGCTATTTTTATGGCTATTTCTTGATCATATGCTAAACAAGGGGTGGATTACTCGTGAGTTTTTTTGGAAAATGACAGGAGATTCCCAGAATTGAGGGCCCCTCCCCCTTAAAGAACATACAGGGCAACTTCCTGAGGTTGCCATTGTATTTGTAAACTGTCCTGGCGCTGGCGGGTCCATGCTAACGATTCCTTTAGTATGCTAATGATTATCTTTGGCATATAATGAGCAGTGAGGACAACCAGAGGTCGCTTTCATCACCATCTTGGTTTTGGTGGGTTTTGGCTAGCTTCTTTTTCACATTCTGTGTTATCAGTGGGTCTTTGTGACCTGTATCTCAGGAAAGCAGTCTTGTGGAGCTCCGCTCTGTCTTCAGAGGCTTCACGTAGCTGCCCCAACTGCCCCATGCATTCCGTCCAGGTATGGGGCCCCTTCTTCCATACTCTGTTAGTGCGTTCACAAAGGTCTGCCCGGTTTCAAAGAATGGGGTATTTAGAGACTGGGCGAGATTATGGGAGAGAATATAGAAAGAGTTGAGAGAATAAGCTGTGGGGTGAGCCAGGAAGCACTCCGACATTGCCGTGTTGGGTAGAGAAGCCATTAAAAGGGACTTGGGAGAAAATGGCTAGCGAGTTAGAGAAAATAGGGGAAGGGAATATCATGAGCTGAGAGTAAAATGCTTTAAGGAGTAGGAGTAAATCAACAGTGAAATTTTTCTGAAAGATAAACTAAGTAGGATGAAGACAGAAATGTTGGCTGGGTGTGGTGGCTCACCCATGTAGTCCCAGCACTTTGGGAGGTTGAAGCAGGAGGATTGCTTTTGTCCAGAAGTCTGAGGCTGCAGTGAGTTATGATAGGGCCACTGCATTCCGGCCTGGGTGACAGAGGGAGACCTTATCTTTAAAAAAAAAAAATGGAAACAAAAAGTTATTGATACCATGCTGCCCAGCAGCTTCTGGCACATCATGGGCATGGAAATCAAATTAGAGCAGACTGAGCAAGGAGGGAGAGGTAGCAAACGTAGTTAATTCCGGTTAGTAGTTTTGATGTGAAGGGAAGCCAAGAAATGGAATCGTAGCTGGGAGCGGAGAGTGATGTGGCTCAAGGGAGGATTTGTTCTTTCGGTTTTTTTTTTAAAGCATGTTTGTGTGATACTGGGAATGTCCAGCAAAGAGGGAGGTGTTTGTGTTTCAGGAGAGAAGGGATAGCCAAAGAAGTGAGATCTTGGCACGCAATAAGGAATTCAGCTCAGAACACAAGGGAAAGAACTTGCTCTTGTTTGTCACAGGGCCTCTTTCCATTGTGAGGAAGACAAGTGTGAGCATTTTTGCATATTTGGAATTTGTCTCAGATTCTTCCATTGTCTCAGTAAATCATTTGACAATATCATCTCATCATTGGGAAGAACGGGTCAGGTGGGGAGAAGATTGTTTAAACATTGTATTGGAGTGGAAGCTTACATGAGAACCCACAGCAGTGTTGGCCTCCTTGAGGTATATAGCTGTGCACTGAAAGTCAAGACAGACAACACCTGTGTGGCTTTCTTTTACAATGTTCAGTTGTTCAGGTGCAGGCAAAGAGAAAGTGGATGGCTGCGCCGAAACAGGTCGTGGTTTCACCTGACAAGCGTGGTGGAGGGAGAGAGGGATAAGAAAGCTGAAGTGTTTGAAGTATGTAATTATAGTGATAGAACATGGAATTTAAGCCGCTGCGGAAGGAAGTGACACAGCACGAGTGATGGATTGTGCAACAGTAGTAGGGACAACTGATTCAAGGTCAGCATGCTGGATGGAGCAGTAGAAGGGGTTCTAGAGTAAGAGCCTAAAAGTAGAAGGTAGTTCTCAGGAGTTAGATGCTGCATTCAGGCATTTGTACATAGATTCATTGATGATCGAAAAATTAATTGATTATCCCGTCTTTGCCAGCCACTCCTTGAGGTCCTGAGTAGAAGGTGGTAAACACACAGCAGGGACTGCTGAAATGGAGTTTACGCTCCAGGAGTAGGAGACAGATCACAGACTTACATAAATTCAAGGGCTAAGCTCTCTGAAGAATAAAGTGGATAATGGGAACAAGAGTAATGGGGTGTGCTCCTTCAGAAAGGGTATTAGGAAGTTCTCTCAGTGAAAGTGACCACTGACCAGAGACCTGAATGAGATGAAGGAGTGAGGGAGTCATTGATGTATGCAGAAGAAGAGTGTTCTAGTGCAAAAGTCTTCATGGTGAGAGTGAGCTCAGTGTGTTTGAGGAGGAGAAGGCCAGTAGGCAAGAGTGGTGAGAGGTGGGAGGTAGGGAGGTGGCTCTTGCATCTGGTGAGTGTTGCGGGGGTTGTGACTGATTGGGGCTGTTGCCTTGGGTTATAAAATAATTTACTGAAACAGTAGTGAGGTGAAGAATGCAAGTTTATTAGAGAGTAAGTACGTTGCAAAGGGCAACGGGTAGCACAGCAGAGAAGGGGCTGTCTGCCAAGAGACAGGGGCTGGGGGAAAGTTTGATAGGGTCCTGCTTGTGGGGCCACTGTGCAAATAAAATGACGCTGCTGGGGCTGCATGCAGAGTGAGGTGTCTGGGAACAGGATAGTGTGCAAGCAGGTTGTTTGTGGTTAGCAGTCACTCAGAACAATTGTTCTCCCCCACCTGGGACCCCCCTTCCTCGTTGTTGCTAACTTACCTATCAGGACTGCACAGTGAGGGATTTGATTTTACTCTGAGGGTGATGGGAACCCACTGGAGAGTTTGGAGTAAACTTTGGAATTGATCTTCTGGAGGTTGTACGGTTCCTGATAGTGACCAATATGAGGCTGTGAGATGGGAATGGGTGGCTGTTTTGTGGTGGAGAAAATGTTAGCTGGAGGCAAGGGGATCAAGGTCTCGGGCGAGGTATCCTCCTGAGCAATGGTTTGCTCTCCATGTGGATGTCCAAATCACTAAGAATGATAGGAGCAGAGGTGGAACGTGGGGCAGTGAGGCAGGAGGTGAGTTATTTAGTGAATGACGAAGGGAGGGAATAACTAGAGGTTAGTGGATGGCAGAAAGGAGGAGGGATAGTAGGGTCTAGCCAGTGGCAGGAATTTTCAGAAAAGCTCATGGTTTTGAAGGAGAATAAATCATCTGGAAGTGTTCATGGGGAACAAGGATGTTACCCACGTTTTTTGCCTCAGATGTGAAGGATTTGACTTAAAATGCCTCCACCTGGCCGGGCGTGGTGGCTCACACCTGGAGTCCCAGCACTTTGGGAGGCTGAGGTGGGCGGATCACGAGGTCAGGAGTTCGAGACCAGCCTGGCCAACATGGTGAAATCTCCTCTCTACTAAAGATACAAAAAATTAGCCGGGTGTGGTGGCGCATGCCTGTAATCCCGGCTACTCAGGAGGCTGAGGCAGGAGAATTGCTTGAACCTGGGAGGCGGAGGTTGCAGTGAGCCAAGATCATGCCATTGCACTCCAGCCTAGGCGACAGGGCGAGACTCCATCTCAAAAAAAAAAAAAAAAGTGCCTCCACCTGAGACGATTGCAGGGCGAGGATATCCTCAAGGGAAAGCCTAGTTATCACTAAAGAAGGAGGTGAAGTTTCTTTAGAGAGAGGTTAGGCCTGGGGTTCTCAGCCTGGGGTTATTTTTGCCCCCTGCCCCAGGAGACACTTGGCAATGTCTGGAGACATTTTGGGCTGTTACAGCTGGGGGCGAGGTGGCTGTGCCACCGCCATCCAGTAGTAATGGCCAAGGATGCTGCTAAAAGCACAGGATAATTTCCCCCACTACCGCTAAACACGGAAATACCAGGCCCAGGGTGATGATAGGGTTGTGGTACAGAGACCCTTGATTAAGGATTTCGGGGCATATGCTTTCATGGAAGTAGAGTTCCAGCAGGTCATCATTTTCTCTCCTCCACACTGTTCTGGAACTCCTTTGATAATTTTTGGCTGGATGTGCACGTACACATTTACCTTCAGTCACACACATGCAAGATCCTGCTGACCTTATTTTTTGTCATATACATTATCTGAGCGGTAGGAAAGAATTAGTCTTAGGGCTATTTTCAGTAATTCGGTAACATGAATACAACAATCTACTGTTATGATAATTAATCACTTGAGAATTGAGGGATGCCATTTCCTAGATATTTAGTTCCAGTTAGATGCAGGCAAACTGAAGTTCTGTAGGGGAAAAATTTGTTATTTCCCCTCCAAAAAATCCTGGGAGACCAAAGAATGTTCTCTAATGACCAGAAGAAATGGAGAAAATAGAGAGATCTCTTGTGTCCTGCTTTGTCACTCGAAATATCAAAGGCAGCTTTTGAGATTAGTTTTGTTTTATAGACAGAAATACAAAGAGGCATAACAACTGCATGACTAGTATCCTGGTAGAATGGAACATTTAGACATTTGAAATGTAGTTATTGTAACTGAAGTATAGACTTGGCCTGGTTTTGCAAAGCCTGGAGCTAAGAATGGTTTTTACATGTTCAAAGTTGCTCAAAACAAAATTAAACCAGTGAAAAATATGCGACAGAGACCTTACGTGTGGCTCATAAAGCCTAAGATACTTACTATTTGGCCCTTTACATAAAAAGTTTGATGGTATAGACTGATAAATCATTTCCAGTTCTGACTATGATATGAATGAATCTATCACAGAATCATAGCATTGTATTTATTCAGAAATCCTGAAAATATTTATTGATGCTTTTTATGTGCAAGTGACCAAGTTTGCAAGGTAGATGCTGGCCATCAGCAAGTTTATATGTCAGTGAGGAAGGTCAACTTTAAACAAATGATTGCATAACTAATTAGATAAAATAATTAATTACACAAAGAAACTATGAAGGGTTCCAAAAGAGCATGGAAGGGGATTACTGAAGACTTTTCTGGATAACAGTTGATCTAAATTTGAAGAAAGAATCTGCTAATTAGAAGGAGGAGAAATTGTGGCCCTGGAAGGGACCCTAGAGATTTTCCATTTCCTCTGATGAAAGTTTGTGAATGCAAAACAAGCTACATAAATGTTTGAAAGTTAAAGAGCTAGGCCAGGCACGGTGTTTTACGCCCGTAATCCCAGCACTTCGGGAGGCTGAGGTAGGCAGATCATTTGAGGTCAGGAGTTCAAGACCAGTCTGACCAATATGGTGAAACCCCATTTCTACTAAAGCTACAAAAAAAATTAGCTGGACATAGTGGTGCATGCCTGTAGTCCCAGCTACTTGGGAGGCTGAGGCAGGAGAATCGCTTGAACCCGGGAGGCGGAGGTTGCAGTGAGCCGAGACCGCGCCACTGCGCGGGTGACAGCGAAAGTCTATCTCAAAAAAAAAAAAATGTGTCAGAAAAAATTAAGGCCTATAGCTATGACTCTGCACTCTCGCTAACATTAGAACCAACTGACAACCAGTAGAAAACTGATGCCTGAGCCCGGCTTCCAGCAATTCTGTTCTCCCCAGGTGATCCTCAGTTTCAGCCAAGATTGAGAACCCCTGGGCTAGGTGGACCCAGGCCCTCTAGGATCCTCAGCCAGTGTCTTATTTTTTTTATTTTTATTTTTTTTTTTTTGAGACGGAGTCTTGCTCTGTCGCTAGGCTGGAGTGCAGTGGCGCGATCTCGGCTCACTGCAAGCTCCGTCTCCCGGGTTCAAGTGATTCTCTTGCCTCAGCCTCCCAAGTAGCTGGGACTACAGGCGCTGGCCACCAAGCCTGGCTAATTTTTTTTGTTTTGTTTTTTGTATTTTTAGTAGAGACGGGGTTTCACCGTGTTAACCAGGATGGTCTTGATCTCCTGACCTCGTGATCCGCCAGCCTCGGCCTCCCAAAGTGCTGGGATTACAGGGGTGAGCCACCGCGCCTGGCCCAGTGTCTTCTTATTATGCCTCTCTTGCCTTTTTTTAGGGAAATAGTAAAAAAAAAAAAAAAAAAAAAAAAAAAAAAAGTCCTTAAGTTCAGACCTATGCTAGAGTTATATTTCTGAGGAGCATCTGAGAGAAATGTGAATTTTTATCCCTTTTCTGGGTGACTTATTTTTATTTTGCTGGCCAGCTCTCTTCTTGTGGGTTGGTGCCTTTGCCTGCCTCTTCGTCTCTTCATTCTCTGTCCCCGCCATGATGGACACTGTGAATGTCAGTCACTGATATTTCTGAGTCTAAATGGCGGCATGATGCGTTACGAACTGCTTCCTTCGAGAACCATCTGCAATTAAATTCAAGCGGTTTAGCCTTTTGGATCCAAAATTAATTAATTAATTTATTTATTTATTTATGAATTATTTTTTGAGACAGGCAACACTCTTGTTGCCCAGGCCGGAGTGCAATGGCGTGATCGCGGCTCACTGCAACCTCTGCCTCCTGGGTTCAAGCGATTCTCCTGTCTCAGCCTCCTGAGTAGCTGGGATTATAGGCACCCACCACCACGGCTGGTTATTTATTTATTTATTTATTTATTTATTTGAGATGGAGTTTCGCTCTTGTCTCCCAGGCTAGAGTGCAGTGGTGCGATCTCGGCTCACTGCAACCTCCGCCACCCAGCTTCAAGCTCCGCCACCCAGGTTCAAGCAATTCTCTTGCCTCAGCCTCCCAAGTAACTGGGATTAAGGAGCCCGCCACCACGCCTGGCTATTTTTTGTATTTTTAATAGAGACGGGGTTTTGCCATGTTGGCCAGGCTGGTCTTGAACTCCTGACCTCAGGTGATCCACCTGCCTCAGCCTCCCAAAGTGCTGGGATTACAGGTGTGAGCCACCATGTCTGGCCTTGGATCCAAATTTAAATCCAAAATTGGATTTACCAATTAAATCCAAAAGGGAGCTGAGTGAGGTGGTGTGTGCCAGTAGCTCTAGCTACTTGGGAGGCTGAGGCAGGAGGATGGCTTAAGCCCAGGAGTTTGAGGTAAGCTTCAGCAACGTAGTGAGACCTCATGTCTATTAAAGAAAAAAAATCTGAGCTGGGCGTGGTGGCTCACACCTATAAATCTAGCCACTCAGGAGGCTTAGGTGGGGGGATTGCTTGAGCCCAAGAGTTCAAGGCCAGCCTGGGCAACATAGCAAGACCCTATCTGAATTAAAAATCTTAGATGGAAGCTGTATAGCCCATAACTTCGCCTGTTGTCTTTTGAGGCAGGAGGTATTTAGGGGGATGAGAGAGCAAACCAGTTCTGCAGTTTTTTATGTGGTAACTCTGGCCTCAGACTACAGAGCTTTCTCCTAGCTTGAGAGGCTCCTTTCTGCGCTGTCAGTAGCCTTGGAAACGGTGTTGTTCCCTGGCAGTGTTTACCCAGCCGCTGTCCCCTGGCGAGTTCAGAGCCAGGTGATCGGCAGTGCTCGCTCTTAATGACTGTGTTTCATCTGCAGGGCGAACGCTGTTGGAGAAGCTGTTCAGCCAGCAGGAGAACGGGCCTCCAGAAGAAGCAGAGAAGTTTTGCTCCCGGATCATTGCCATGGGTCTTCTCCTTCCTTTTAGTGATTGCTTCAGGGAACCGTGTAATCAGAATGCCCAGACGAATGCAGCTTCGTTTGATGTAAGTAGGAGAATTCACTTCTGTCCGTGAGGCAGATTTGCTGTGGAAATAGCAGCTACGATGTGTATCTGCCCAGTCACCCTATAATTTAAAAACAACATGTGATTCAAGCATTTTTTTTCCTTAGCTGCTCAACAGCTCGGTATGTCTGTTTGTACACAAAAAAAAAA